>NC_000009.12:36979696-37131212 GCF_000001405.40 Homo sapiens
TGTCTCACCTCCTCAGTGCCTTGTACCCCAGTGAGGCCAATCTCCAGGCAATTTCAGAATTACCAAGCCATTTTGGACAAATCACTTTGTCCCCAGCTCATTGGATGAAAGAAACATCCCCAAAATTCAAATCAGAGAATTCTGGAGCTTGGAGTGGATTCCAAGCCTGTCTACAGCTCCTTGTGCAGCTTGGAAACTGAGGCCCAGAAGGCAATAAACTGTTGCCCCAAATCACCAGGATACTCAGCAGCCTAACAGAGACTTGAACTTGGGTCCCAGGTTCTCAGGTCAAGACTTTTTCCACTTTCTCTCAATGCCTCCCTAATTTATGTCAAAACAATGAACTCCTATCGACAGAGAAGACTTCATTCCCTACTGTCAACATGGCCCAATGCACTGCTATGGTTCCTTCGTGGCATTTAATTTAATTTTCCCAACTCCAAGCCAAGACTATGCTTAGGGAAATCAGGAAAGCGGCTTGCACCGGTGGCTGCCTGAGGGAGGTGGCTCTTGGAGGCACAAGGCTGAGCCCAGCATGAGAGTCTCTGGAGGAGGCCAGGGCAATGACAGTCTGCAAATAAGCTTTGCATCTGCTCAGAGCTGGCAGAGTCTGCAAACACACTAATGGACTTCCCTCTGCCTGTGGGGAGTTGGGGAGAAGCCATAAATAAAGCAGGTGCCTCTGGGGGGAGCCATTGCCGAAGCCAGAGACAGGGCTGGGGATTAGGAGCTGGTTAAGGGTTGGGGGAGGGGCTTTGGGCCACCCACTGCACCGCATTGCACTGCCTCCCAGACAAAATGACAACCCACTTACCAGCAGCCCCAATCCCCACATCCCAGATTCCCCAGTCTCTGTTCCAGTCAGTCCCTTGTCTGATGATATCAATACATTCACAATTCCAGACACAGAAGGGTTGGGGGAGGAGGGTCATACAGTCTAATCTGGCCACAGTGTAGAGACCCTGTTGGAGGGAGATGAGACTGAGGCCCAGGGTCGAGTGGGAGCCCTCAGCCAGGACAGAGCTAACAGTGGGAATGGCTATCCAGAGAAGGGGGCAGGTTCGGGAGGTGATTAGGAGAGAAGGTATGCTGGAGTGAGTGACTCACTGGAGGTAGGGGAGAAAATGCACCTCTGAAGTTCCCTGTTGGAGGTTCTAGGCTGCTGTCTACTCCCACTCTGAGCAAAACCCACAGCCCCTCACAGCTTACTAGGCTTTACTGGTACTTAACTGGGTACCCCCCCAGCAATCCCACCTTTCTGACCTCGTTTCCTCCCACTCTTTCCCCGCTTATTCTGCTCCTGCCACACTCGCCTCCATAGGGTTCCACAGTCATGCCAAGCTCACCGGCCTTGGGGTCTTTGCACTTGCTGTTCCCTCTCTCCGGAAACTTCCTCCCCCAGATATCTGCCTGGCTCACTCCTCCCTCCATTAAGGCCTCTGCTCAAACGTCAGCTCATCAGTAGGACCACCCTCCAAAAACAGCAAAGCCCCCCCCCCCTCAGCCCTGCTTCATTCCCTGTCTCCTCACCTAGCTTTGTTTTCCTCCAGAGCATAGAACAGCATGCTGCTTATTTTCCTTATTTAGTTATTGTCTTTCTTCCTTAGAACGTCACTCATGTGGGCAAACATTTTTGTCTGTCTTGTTCATTGCTGTGTCCCCAGCAACTAGGACAATACCTAGCACACATAGCAGGCACACAATAAATACTTGTAGAGTGAATTTCACTGAAACTGGCAAAAAAAAAAAAACAAAAAACAGGTACAAAGGAGAAGGGAGACAGCTGCTCCGGTGTGACCTCCTACTGGGAAATAGTGGCCACACCCTCCCAGGGGACATCTGATGCTCCCCTTCCATGCCTTGCCTAAGGGAAAACAAAGGGGTCCCTAGGGAAAATCCCTGAGGGAAAACAGTGGGGTCTCCCAGGCCTTACCTACCTCTGAGACCACAGTGCCCGACACCACATCAGGAGCCAGTAAATGGATGAATGACACCCCAGGGAAGAGGCTCTGCCTTGGAAGTGTTTAAGTGACAAAAGTGGTGGAGCACAGAGAGCAAGCTCTGGCTCTGCCACTTGCCAGCTGTGTGATCTTACACTTCTCTCAACACATCTGTGCAATGGGGTCAATAAATCATGCCAGGCCTACAGCACTGGTCAGAGCAAACAAGCTGCTGGATTCCAAGTGAGAGAGTGCTGTCTGCACAGTGAGCACCTCCTAAGAGTCAATAAGGACTGAGAGTGAGGACAAGAAAACAGAAGCCATTTGCTAAATTAAAAAGAACAAGGGATGGACCCTGTGGCTCCCCACTGTAATCCCAGCACTTTGGGAGGCCGAGGCAGATGGATCACCTGAGGTCAGGAGTTCAAGAACAGCCTGGCCAACATGGCAAAACCCCACCTCTAGTAAAAATACAAAAATCAGCTAGGTGTGGTGGCACACACCTGTAGGCCCAGCTACTGGGTGGCTGAGGCAGGAGAATCGCTTGAACCCAGGAAGCAGAGGTTGCAGTGAGCCAAGATCATGCCACTGCACTCCGGCCTGGGCCACAGAGCAAGATTTCATCTCAAAAAAAATAAAAAAATAAAAATAAATAAATAAAAAATAAAAAGAACAAGATGTGTACAAAGAGGGGTACCTGGCTAAGGTGAATCCCTTGGTTCCAGCATTCATTGATCTGTTGCTGGTGCTCTGGTCCCAAGCATAGCCCTGCCAGGGAACCCAGTCTCAGCCCTCAGGGAGCCCATACTCTGTCAAGGAGAGAAGGCCTGGAGATGGACTTACAGTCCAAGCTTGTGAAAGTATCCTAAGAGAGCCCTCAACTGCAGGCAATGAAAGTCTAGAGACAGAAAGAACCTGTCCAGTGCAGGAGGATGGGGGGTCCTTCTCCTGGAAGGAGAAGGTGGCATCTGAGCCAGGATTTGGATTTGGGGGCATGAAGGAAGAGGCAAGGGGCATCCCAGACAAGGATAAGATGTGGGTGGGGCTATGCTCACTGACTGAGGCCCCTGGGAGCTTAGCACCCATGGAGCGGGGTCACGTAGCTTTCACACCTCCACATCTAAATCAGGCTATGCTTCTGTGTCTCCGGGTCAGGTTTTGCACACAATGGGTGCACAATACCTGCAGATTTTGCTTTTTCACAGACTCCACAGAACTTCCCAAAAGAAAGATACCCTAGAGAGAAACCCATTCATTCCAGTGGTTGTCGGTAAGCATGATCAGATCAGAGGAGATTTGGGAAATCTATGAATTATTACTAATATTGTTATGGGGGAGGAAGTATGGCATTTAATGGATGGGGCCAGGGATGCTACCCAGCACAGTTCAGCACGGTAAATAATTGGCCTGCATCTCACACATCTTTGGAATGACCCATCACACACTGAAGTTGGTGAAAACTCTTTATAGATAGGTGAGCCATGAACATAACTCTGTGTTTCCGACATACACAGAGATTTGGTGTTTTCATTTACACTAACTTTTCCAAGAATACAACCAACATATACATTGAGGGAAGATTACGCTTTGCTTTGGTTGGAATTTTATCAGGACATGTTCATAATTTCAGAAAATCAGTTCACTGATGGCAACACCGCCAGAGATATTTATATTGCCAAAAAACACAGCTGTCCACATTTATAGCTGCTGCATTCATGGAGATTCTACGCCTAAGTGCAAGCAACTAACTACTTTATTATGTCTTCTGGTGTAGTCATGTCTGAGCATTTACATAATGAAAATATATCATTTTATTATGATTTTACTTTTCTTTCCCCTTTTTGTTACAATTGGGGCATTAAATCTATTTTTTAAATTATGTGTATGAGTGGATTCTATTTCCTCTAAATTTCATTTTAGGATAGCAAAGGAAGCGCTACAAAATACTTGTTTTAAAGAGGAAACATTGGATTGATATGATTTTTTTTCACCACATTCAGCTAATTTTTGTATTTTTTGTAGAGATGGGGTTTCACCATGTTGCCCAGGCTGGTCTTGAACTCCTCAGCTCAAGGGATCCACCCCTCTCGGCCTCCCAAAGTGCTAGGATTACAGGCATGAGCCACCTTGCCCAGCTGGGGTTACACAATTTAAAATCACTATATATGATTCCAAGGCGCCTCCAGTTCTACCCTTCAAGACTATCCCATATTAGGGACTATCTTCCTAATTTGTCTTGCTAAAAAGGGTATAGCTCTAGAGAGAAAGAGTTCTCCAGACCACCTTTGAGGGACAGAAAGACAAGTACCAAAAACAACTGTGAAATAAATGTACTTCCTTGATCATGAATAGTAAAAGCTTGTTCCTAACAGACAAGACCTGGATTCCCTCTGCCCTTTTTAGAAAACCGTTTCCCAAATATAAGATTCCAGCTAGGACTGAGCCAAGGAGTCCCAGCTTCCTACAGCAGCTTCTCCTCCCTGCTGGAGCCTTCTCTCAGCTGTCTATACCTAGGTCAAGAGGGATAGGCCAGGGAGAGAAAAATCACCTTGAAAAATCAGTGCTCCTCCTGCCCTGAAAACATGCAGAATGCACGTTGGAGCTCCAAGAGCAAGGCAGGTGGGACTAAGACTGGGGTGAGGTGTAGGGCAAGGAAGGGGTGTTATGGGGGTTATATGCTGCCTCTGCCAACTAGTAGAGCAGTTATATGCACAGGCTCTGAAAACAGAGTGCTTGGGTTTGAATCCCAGCCTTGTGACTTACTGGCTTTGTGGCCCTGGATTGGTTATTGAACCTCTCTTTTTTTTTTTTTTTTTTTTTTGAGATGGAGTTTCGCTCTTGTCACCCAGGCTGGAGTGCAGTGGCACAATCTCGGCTCACTGCAACCTCCACCTCCCAGGTTCAAGCGATTCTCCTGTCTCAGCCTCCTGAGTAGCTGGGATTACAGGTGCACACAACCACGCCAGGCTAATTTTTTGTATTTTTAGTAGAGGTTTTTTGTATTTTTAGGGGTTTCATCATGTTGGCCAGGCTGTTCTCGAACTCCTGACCTCAGGTGATCTGCCCACCTCAGCCTCCCAAAGTGCTGGGATTATAGGCATGAGCCACCGCACCCAGCCTCATTTTTTCCAACAGCCAAAGGAAAACAGTATTGGTACATACACACTCACCACACTCGCCTATCACAAAGTGAGTGCTTCACTCTCACCATCAGCCTTGTACAGCTGAGGGTAGAGGGCAATTTTTTCCCAGTGGTCACACTATAAAGCCAAAGAGAGCTGGGCTGGGAGCAGGGACCTGGGTCCCTCTTCCCTGTAGACAACTCACACTCAACTGGCCTTCAGAGGCCATCATCTCCAACTCCCCCACTTTATAGATAAGGATACTGAGGCTCAGAGAGGGGAAGAAAATGGACAAAGCTCACACAGCAAACTAGTGTTAGATTCCCAGCTTAGACCCATTCCACTGCATCATGCTGCCTCTCAAACACGCTGGGCATCAGTTTGTCCGTCTTCAAATGGGGGGTGGGGTGGTGATTGTCACCGGGTGGCACCAGGGATCTCTGAGTGCCATGACAAAGGGAAAAGCCCTCAGCAAGCACTTATTACACCTTTGCCAACTCTGAGCACATAGCAGGTGCCTGCCACACACTCATCACACGGGTTACATTATCTCTCCCTGGCCAGGGCTTTTTTGGATGAAAGGTTGGTTCTCAGTTGTTTAGTGAGTGAGGGAATGCCAGCATGCCTGAAAACAGAACTGGAAAAGGGGACTCTGGTGTCTGCAACCAGAGGGAAAGCAAGAGATCGCAAAGAAGAGAGAAGTCCATTCCCTCACTACTACTTCCACGTGTGTGCCAGGCCCTATGCTGGGCACTGAGGGCGTCTGGGACGAATGGGAGACGACTTCTGCCCTTGGAACTCAAGGTCCGAAGGGGGAGGCAGGAGAAGGCTGTGGGGCCTCAGAGCCAGCCATCTCCATGAGGCAGCCTTCTGTGTAGGGCAAGAAGAGCTTTCTGAGGCCGGCGCCTGGCCACAGAGCATGGGGATACACACAGGGGACAGAGATGGAAGGAAGGCCTTCCCTCCAGGGCGCAAAGCACACGTGGCAGGGTCAAAATCCAGTCCCGAACTTCCCAAGCCACAGCAGGTCACTGGAAAAAGTGATGCCTTTGTGTTTGTGCCTTTTTCTAATTTTCCACCGGTGCAAGAGACAAAAAAGTTTATGTCAGGGCATCATCCAGCAAGATCAGAACCCCCACTCAGGCTCGGGGACAGAGGGAAGAAAGAGTGGCAGTCGCACCCAGGAGGACCTGCCTGTCCAACATCAAGGAATGATCAAGAACTCCCATCCCGGTTCCACGCTGCGCGTCCGCCATCCGAACCGGCCTCGCCCCTCCAGGCCGGGTCCCGACGCCAGCTCCGTCCGACCCCCGCCCGGCACCCCCGTCCGGCGCCCTCGCCCCGGCGCGCATCATCTGCTCCGCTGCCCAGCTCCCGGCTGCCGCCGCGCCCGCGCCCCCCGGGGCCCCGGAAAGCTGGCATCCGTTGTTAGCATAACAAACTCAATTGTTCTCAGCGGGGCCCCGGCAAATAAAGTCATTCATTACGGGCCTCTCCTGGCCGCCGCGGGCCGCGCGGCAATCAGCGGGCCGAGCCACGCGCCAGCGCTGGGACCTGCAGGGCGCGCCGCCGCCTCCACGCTGCGCCCCGGGCCCCGCCGCGGCCGCGCCGGCGGGGGCAGCGCCGGCCGCCGATTAGTTTTATCTCGGAACGTCAATTGACTTAGACTGATTGGCTTCCTGCCGCCAATGTCAATTAAATTGCAAATGCTTGGCGGAGGCCGGCGCGAGCGGGCGGCCTCCTTCCCGGGGGCGCCGCGCTCAGCCTTCTCTTTGCGCCACGTTCGGCCGCAGCTGAATTCATTTCTCCTTCCACGTCGCGCAGGAAATCCAGGTGACCTCCTGGAAGTCGTCTGCCCTCCGCCCCCGGCCCTGGGGACTCCTCCGTCGGAGCCCGAGCCCCGAGGACTCCCGGCCGGTGGGCGGGAGCTAGGCCCACGGGGCGCCCGGACCGCGGGGCCGAGGAGGAAGGGACCGGCCTCCCCGCAGGGACCTCGGCCTCTCTGCCGAGCTGTATTCTCACGGTGGCACCGCGGATCCCTGGACCTCCTTCAAAGATCTTGGGATATGACTCGGTGCGCCCTTGAGCGACTCGCTTCCTGCTCCTCTCATGCCTGGCTTTCTTCACCGGCCACGAGTAGGCTCGAAGGAGATGGTGGCCGGGGTCCCGTCCAGCCCATGCCCAGTGCCTGGGTGTCCAGAGGGAGGAAGGCCTGGCAGCATCACCAGCGTTCACCTGGTGCTGACGCTGTGCCGAGCCACGGATGGGCACAGTCTAATCTTCCCCCACAGCCCTCCGAAGCAGATACTGTTACTGTCCGACTTCTACAGAGGAGCGAAGTGGGGTGCAGGCCAGAGAGTGGCCAGTTGGGTTTCAAACGCCTGCGGCTGCGTGCCTATACGCTGCATTCAGGGAAAGGCGCTGTGGAGGAATAAGAAAGGGAAACGGAAAACGGCCCAGCCTAGACCTGGGCACCTCCCACTGCCAAGAACTGTACCAGGTGTTTTGCCTCTGTTATGGAATTCTCACAGTAATTGTATGACCTAAGTATATAGTCCCCATTTTACAGATGGGGAAACCGACCCTTGGAGATGTTCAGAAATGTGTCCCTTGCCACAGAGCGGGTATGTGAGATGAACTACAATGATACTCTCATAGGCAAGAGAGCTTTACAGCTTATAAAGCACTTTCTCATGCACTTCTTCTCGCCGAATTTGCACAAGAATTTGAAGAAGGCGTCCTGCTCTCTCTGGTGCCAGTAGGAAAATCGAGGCCCAGCATGGGTTGCCCAAGATCACCAGCAAGGGAGTGCCAAGCCAGGACTCCAAGCCCCGCCTTGAAGGCCTTGAACGAGATGGCTCAGGCACAGGCTCTGCTCGTTCCCTCTCCCCATTCTTTGGGGAGCTAGGAAGGAGTCATACACTGGGGTCTGCTGGAAGATGCTCGGGGCCATGGGGAAGAGCAGGAAAGGGGAAAGGGGCTCCCACGAAGGAAGGCATTTGCTGGAGGAACCATAAATTAGGCCCCCAAACAGTTGTTTTTCGCCCATTGTCTCTGCCTCTCTGCCTGCCTGCCTGCCTCCTTAAGGTTGTCTCCCGAGAGGGAGGTACGCAGGTTCTTAACTGATAAAATGTGCCAGCAGTTAAAAGATACAAACCTGACCAATCGTCCTTTTCAGAAAAGAGATGTTCACGGAACAAAAGTACTATTCAGAAGTGCTGGATGGCGTTTGTGTCTGAGACAGAAAGGAAACGAAGAGCGAGAAGATGAAGAAGGAGGGAGGGGGAGCGGCGGGGAGCGGGGGAGGAGAAAGGATCAGGAGCTGGAAGGGTTGTCCAGACTCAGTGGGTCCTAACCGAGGCTCCGGAAGGGCAGGACCTGACTCAGACCACACCGCAAGGCCACGGCTGAGTCAGGATGAGAAACCCAGGCTTCTCCAGTGTCGTGTCAGGCTCACCTTACTTCTGACAGCTGCCCTCAGCTACGACTTGAATTATTTGTGTTTCAGAAACATGGAGCTGAAATTCTGCCAGCATGAATTCCAGTTGGTATTTCTTTCCTTTTCTTCTGACCCTAAGCTGAACAATCCTATCATGAAACTTAGTAATATAAATAAAATGATCATTAAAAAAGAAAGAAAGCCTGTAATCCTGGCATTTTGGGAGCCTGAGGCAGGAGGATTGCTTGAGCCCAAGAGTTCAAGACCAGCCTAGGCAACAAAGCGAGATCTTGTCTTGACAAAAAAATTTTAAAAAATAGCCGGGTGTGGTGGTGCATGCCTGCAGTCCCAGCTACTCAGGAGGCTGAAGTGGAAGGATCACTTGAGCCCACGAGGTCAAGGCTGCAGTGAGCTGTGTTTGCACCACTGCACTCCAGCCTGGGCAACAGAGTGAGACCCTGTCTCAAAAAAAAAAAAAAAAAAAAAAAAGAGAGAGAGAGAGAGAAAACAAAAAATCTGGGAATTTAGAACGTTCTCAACGAGATCTTTTTGAGGAATCTAGATTCAGAGTAAAAACACTTTGCTCTGATAATAGAAATAAGAAAATAATAGGTGATATTTTTGAAACTTGCCATGTGCCAGTGCTAATCAAAATATTATAGGCAACATTTTCTAATTACCAGAAAAGGCAGGAATTATTATCCCCCTTTGACAGGTGAGGAAATTGAAGCTCAAAGAAGCTAAAGCCCTTTGCTGTCAAAGCTCACACTGCTAGTAAAAGGAAAGGCAAGGCTCAAACCCCAGTCTACTCACGGTGCCACCTGCTGTGGCTTAAAACCCACATGTGACCAGCCGGCTGCGCTTGAAGGTGACCAACTTGCAGGTGTGACAGGGAAGTGTGCGCAGCAGTGTTAGGAAAGCTTCAGAAATGGCGTACCCCTGAGTGATGCAACAGACTCTGAGCCAAGGTCCCCCTGAGCTCAGCCAGACAGGATAATGGGGGAACAGGCAGAACTGCGAAAAAGTAGAATCAAAGCCCCATGTTGGAGAGAGCTGAGGATATTCCCCTGGAGAACACAGCCTCATACGGATGTCATCCTGTTGTGACACCCTCTGTGAGAGGCAGACTGGGATGGCCAGTAAGCACCTAGGTACTAGTCCCAACACTGCCACTATTGAGCTGTGTGACCTTGGGAAATTGTCTCACTCTCTCTGTATCTCTATAAAATGGGGATAATAAGAGTATCCACCTGGTACAGTGGTTGTGAGTATTACATGAGTTAATAATTTAAAATCCAGAGTCAATACTCAGTAAATGTTAGCCGTTATAGTTATCCCATATTGCAGTTCCTCTTTGGTGCTGTGATCTATACACATCTGGAGCACATGCTTAGGTATGGCAGGCAGAAAGAGGACCACAGGCACCAGTATCCATATGTATGCATGTGTGCATGTAGATCACGAAAGAGCTCCCTCCCCGTCTAGAATGGCTGTCACAAGATCCTGGAGGATGGAGACTCTGGGGTCAGGCAGGACTTGGGGAACGTTTGACGTGCAAGGCTCTGTGTTCTGCTCAGCAGCCTCCACTCATTCCCCAGATGAGCCCATGGCTTCTGTGACATCCATGGCCCCCATTCGGTACATATTTGCTGTTGTGAACCAGGCCCTGTGCTGGGCACTAAGGTGACATTGGTGACTGCTCCAGACACAGTTCCTGCCTTCATGGAGCTCACAGTCTTGCTGGGAAAACAGGCGAGTGACAAATGTGATATTTTGATGAACAGGCAGGTTCTGTGTGCTGGTGGGGAGTTGGGTTGGAGGGGAGCATCTGAGAAGCCCTCACTTAGGAAGTGACACAAGCTAGATCCTGAAGTTTGGGATGTCAGCCAGGTAAACAGTAGGGTGAGGGAGGAAGACAGTTTTTCAAGCAGTGGGAAGAGCATAATAAAAGGCACTCTTTATTGAGCACTTATTATATATGGGGTCATCCTGAGCACTTTACATGCATAATCTCATTCAATTCATATAACAGTCCAATCACAAGCACAATTGGGAAACTGAGGCTCAGAGATTGGTCCAAGATTCCAGGAGTAGTCATTGTTGAGTCAGCACTAGAACTCGGGTTGTCTGACTCCTAGGTTGCAAACAGGACAGAGCATGTGGTGTTTAAGGAACGGAAAGAGGTTTGGTATGACTGGAGTGCGCATGAAAAGAGGAGAGTGGAGAGGGCCTGGCAGCCTTGTTAAGAAGTTTGCATAGCTTCTGAGAACAATGGGCAGATTTGAAGGTTAAAACCCTTCAGGCAAGTCATTGATCAGAATTTTCTTTCAGCTGCTATGTGGAGGGCAGACTATTATTTGGACAAGTCAACGACATTGGAGATGGGGACCAGCCAGCAGGCTACAGCAATAGTCCAAATGAGAGAAGAGAGTGCTTGGACTAAGGCAGTAGCAATGGGGATGGAGAGAAATGAGCAGATTCAATGGATATTTAGGACAGAGATGCAGTGACCTTGAGCAAACGCTTGCCATAAGGCAGGCCTTTTTCCGTGGTGACATGTAGAGGCACAAACTTTCTAAGCAGTGAAGATGGTGGAGCCCCTGCTTCCCGCTAATTTAAATTCCAGAGAAGGCCGGGCGCAGTGGCTCACGCCTGTAATCCCAGCACTTTGGGAGGCCAAGACAGGTGGATTGCTTGAGCTCATGAGTTTGAGACCAGCCTGGACAACATGGTGAAATCCCATCTCTACAAAAAATACAAAAATTAACCAGGCATGGCGGTTCATGCCTGTAGCCCCAGCTACTCCGAGGCTGAGCTGGGAGGATGGCTTGAGCCCAGGAGGCAGAGGTTGCAGTGAGCTGAGATCACACCTCTGCACTCCAGCCTGGGCGGTAGAGCCAGACCTTGTCTCAAAAAAAAAAAAAAAAAAAATTCCAGCAAAAATTATAAAATCACAACACTCTCCTTTTCCTAAAGCACCAAAAAGATTTCAAAAGCATTTTTCCATCTTCTATTTTATGTAAGTCTAAGAGAAAGATGTGACTATAATCTCCACAGATGTGAGAAGTGACCTACCCAAGGTCACATGGCTGACAGAAAGATCTAGAATCTAACTCCAGCTCTAGTGCTCTCTGGTACACCACAGAGTGTCAGAGCCCAAAAGAACCTCAAAAATCGTCTGCTCCAATTTCCACATTTTAATATGCGGAAAACAAGGCCCAGAGAGAAGTGACTTGGCCAAGGTCACACAGCAAGTAAAGGCTTAGAGTAGAACCAAGGACTCTACTCCCAGAAAGGTTTATATCAAGGCATTTGGACCATGGAGGTGAGAAAGGACCAGATTAATCCCCACTAGCAATGGTCCAGCCTCCCCCTCCCTGACTGAATGCTGCTGAAGAAGTGAGACTTCAGCTAATGGTCAGCCCACCTGGGCACTGCCACCTCCGACCCAGTTACAAGCATACCAAGCTCATGAATGGCCGGTACACACTGCCCTGCTACCCTACCCCTCTTGTTCCTAACCCTGGACAGCAACTAAGCTGTCCTGGGTCGATGGTGCCACCTGGTGGCTGGTGCTGGGAAGTGTCTGACTCCCTCATCACTTTCGTCCTCCACTGTTCAGTCCCTCAAGAGGCTATGCCTTTCTTTCTGCCTATTTCCTCTCATAGATCAGTTAATTTTGCTACAAGCAATGTGTTTCTCACACATACCTTCTCTCACACCTTTTATCCTTCTTCCTCTCTCAATTTTTCTCAAATTACCTTAAGACATTCTCTTGTTCTCCCTCTCCCACAGTTTATTCTAACACAGGGATAAAATGCCCCAAGGAAGGACTAACACAAATGTTAATTTGTACTAATAAAAATGAAAACTAGAAATTTCAAAGTAAAATTAAACACATGCGGGCACACACACACCTCGCCCCCACCCCCCAACCCTCCCACACACACACATGAGTCAACCAGAAACATTCCAGAAACACCCAGAAGCCCCTGTGGAATCAGAACAAAAATCTCCCCTTTGTCAACTGTCTTTTAGACCTGCTTTTCCTCAAATGCCAGGAGTCAAGATAAATACCAAACCCACTTCTTTATTTTATTTTGTTTCATTCCCAATCAATAGCATTGCTAGGTTTTCTTCCCATCAAAAATATGCCCCAGATGGGGTCTCCAGGTGGCTGCAGGCTAGTACAGAGCTAAGCTGGATGGGGAGAATAGGCAGGGTTCTGAAACACTCACTCCCCAGGCTCTCGGGTGGCACGAGCTGGCTGCTGCTGGCACAGAAGAAAGCCTGCTGGAGGGAAATCAGACCTCAAGCCCTACCAACAATCTGCTGGGAAGGGGAGAAGGCTCGGTAGCTATGTCTTTCCGTGGGAGCTCAACCTGGGATAGAAGCAAGAAGCACTACATACATATCCCAATCGGCTAGTGGAGGATTTCCAAAACCCAGTGTGTCTTGTCACTCCCTCCTCAGCTCAAAGACCTGCCATGGCTCCCACTGTCTTAAGGAGCTAAGAACAGGAGAAATGACTGATGACACCTTTCTTTTAACTGAAACCACTTAATTGCTCACCTTATCTATATGAGTGATAAGTAGGCAAGTTCAGACTTTGCAGCAGCCTGAAGCAGAAATTTTCAAAGTGTAGTCCAGGGAGCCCTGCCAGGGTTGGAAGAAGGGGTCCCCAAGATACTTTCAGGTGATCTGTGAGGACAAAATTATTTTCATTGTTTTTTTATTTTACTTTAAGTTCTGGGATACACGTGCAGAATGTGCAGGTTTGTTACACAGGTATACATGTGCCATAGTGGTTTGCTGCACCTGTTATTTTCATATTAATGCTAATGTGTGATTTGTCTTCTTCACTCTCATTCTCTCACGAGTCTACAGTGGAGGTTTTCAGAAGCTGTAAGATGTGTTCCATCACAACGGAGTGAATACAGCAGCAGCTATGAGAGTCCAGCTGTTTTCTATTAAGCCAGACACTAAAGGGATCTGCAGAACTGTAAGCCAATGCCATTCATACTAAATTTTGGGTTTGGAAGATTCGGTTCTTTCTTATTTCAAAAATATTATTTATGTTACTTGTTTGTTACTGTTATTTTTAATAAATAAATATTTTAAACTTTCATCCATTTTAATTAACCCTCATAAACTAAAGCTCCTTGAAGTCCTTGATAATTTTTAAGAGTTTAAAGGGACCCAGGACCAAACATTTGAGAACTGCTGCCCTACAATAATGCCAAGAGGACTTGAGATGGAACCAGGAGAAACTCAAAATTTTGGTGCCAGAAAAAAACCTCAGCAATTCATTGATCTCCTGTTTTAGATGGAAAAACTGAGGCCCAGACAGAGAAAGGGACAGGAAGAAGGGACACAGCAGGGGCAGGGGTTTGAAGCCTTGTAAATTCTCTGACCCACAGGCTATGCAGCCAGGGATTAAACCATATTCCCAAGCCAGAGAGAAAGGACTGTGGGATTCTCTTCCCCATGGGGCAGCAGGGCATGCAGGGTGGAGAAAGCCAAGGCCATTTCACCTCAAGTTCCAGACCGCCTTGGCAGGGGACTGCCCACAGCAGATGAGACTATATCCCCCTCCATCGGCCCCACCACTCTTTTACTGGTTGGCCCCCAAACTGATTCCCTGAACTGAGATCCCCACATGGCAGCACCCTGCCCTCTCCCATACCCCCAGGGCTCTCCCGAACACCAGTACACCACCCCATGGGAAAAGGAACTGGGGGTAAGAGGAGGGGGAGGGGCTGGGGCAAACCAGGTGCACAAACAGAGAGGGTGGGGGTTCAGCGGCGTTGGCTCTCACGGGGGCTCTCGCTCACTGAATCAAAGTGAAACTTGGGGACCCAGGAGCGAGGAGGAACCGAAACCTGAGCCCCCACCCGTGGGACAGGCCCTGGGCACTAGGGAAAGGCCCCAGGAGCCCCTCCAATTGGCCACCTGGCCTCAGATGCCCTGCGTTACCACAGAGGCCTCCAGCAGTTGTCTATCTGGGTCTCAGCTGAGGTGCCCACAGCTACAAGATCAGGACAGAGATCACAGGGGAGAGTGGCCCGCCAGGCAGGGAGATGGAAACCAGGTCCTCACCATCTCTGCCACTAACTGCCCCCTGCATACCCTTGGGCCAAGCCTGCGCCCTCTGTGCCTGGACTACCCTACCTGCAGGGTATAGAGCACATGACCTGCCAAGGAGTGTGGCTGCTTGGCCACTGCCCTAAGTTCTTGCCTCCGCTACCCTACCCACCTCTGGCCTGTAAGCCTGACTACCCACTTCCCTGACCACACACATACACGCACGCACACTCGGCCCCACCGGCCAGTTCCAGGATCTGCCTCCCATTAGCTTCAGCTGCCACAGGCAGAGACTGAGCCAAACTGGTTTCTTTAGAGTTCATGCTAAGACTCCAGAAGCTCAAAGACCTTCAGGCCAAGGAAAACAGAGCACAAGTGCCGAGAGCAACTTGAGCGGGGAGCGCATGAGAACTCGGGCCCAGCAGCCCCAGATGACTGTTGCCTTGTGGGTTGCCAGGCTGCCAGCTGCCCCAGGGTTGCCAGATCTGATTTTTCTTCCCCAAAGAAGCCAGGCATCCATCCATACATGAAATTTCCTGATTTTGCAATGTTGGTAACTAATTCAAAATCATCATCAATACAGGGCAAGCCAAGGAAAGCATGGCTACCAGGCTGCCAATTCCCCCCTGGGTTCTACGTGATGCCCCCACCACGACCACACCCCAGCAGAACCTTGGTCCTGACTCCTTCCTAGACAAAAAGAGAACTCAGGTAACAACCCACCTCTCTACATGAGGGGACATGTAGACACCTCTCTACATCCAGGGGACAGCACACAGAGGGCCAGGGAGGGGACCTGCCCTTGGAAAGCCCCAGCAGAGGCCAAGACAAAATGGTGGTAACCTCCTTCCTGCCCCCAAAGCCACACTGGGAAAAGGAGATGGAGAGGCTGCCTGTTCACCCATACTCCACACTGGACCCTAAAGAATCCTTGGGTCTCAGCCAGTTGTGAAGGACCAATGACCCAACACTGGAAATCCCCACAGGGGAGTGGGCTGGTTCCAGAAAGCCAGGCCAGGTCCAGGCTCAAGGACAGCATTCCAGGTGGCAGGCCCTGAGTGGGCAATGGCCTGGAGACGGGAAGCTGAGCCAACACACAGGGACTGGAGGCACAGGAGGAATGAGCAGGAGGAAAGGGAGGCCCGCGAGAGAAGGGCAGGGCTTCTCTCAAGAACTGAGGTCAGTGCGGGGGGACGTGTGGGCAGCACCCCATGGGGAGATAAGACTGATGGGGCTGGCTGTCAACAGTGGGGATGGCGGACGGCCCTGTGAGAATGGAGGAAAGGAGGGAGAGGAAAACTGAATTTATCACATCGAAAGGCAAGGGATGCCAAGGATTTTCCACAGAGCCATCCTCTCTCTCTAGGTTTTGGGGGTTTTGCTGTGTGATCTGGGCAGACCGCCTCTCTTCTCTGAGCCTGTTTTCCCATGCGAATGACGGAGCGGGGCGTCTCAGGTGCTCTCCAAGGCCCTTCCAGCTCCCATGGGGGAGTCTCGAGGTCCAGGCTGGTGGCCCCAACAACCCCTCAGACGCCCAGCCCTCCCAGGCCCAGGGTGCTACCCTCTGCCCCCACCCTGGAGGCCTCCACCCCCCTGTGCTCCCTGTGCCTCTCTTCAGGGAAAACTGGGGCCTGACCCTTTTCTTCTGCCATGAAGCAGGCTGGGAGACTCAGCTTCCTAAAGGCAAAGGAGGAGGAAAGTGAGTGGCCCTTCATTCTGCAGCCGACACCTGGGGGCACTGTTGTTCAGCCTGGATGCCCCGGGCTCCCGGCTGCAGGCAATCGGCTTCTTCAGTACTATGGAATCGCTCCGTGGCTCCACAGCTCCAAACAGGAAGGTGGTGGTGGGCGAACCAGCCAGTTCCAGCTGCCAACAGGACCGTGGCTAAAGCCTGCTGCCCTCTGCCATGACGGGCCTCACGTCCTCAAACATAGGCCTCTCCGTGGCCATCTACTCAGCATTGACTACAGCCAGGCCCTGGGGCCACGCCCTTGGCAGCTGTCACTTCACTTCATTTTATTCTCACTGTAACCCACAAGGCTTGCGTCAACTCTATTCGCCAGATAACAAAATGGAGGTGCAGAGAGATTAAGTAACTCGCTACAAGAAGTCCTCAAACCATTTCATCCCTGCCCATGAGCCTGTGCCTTTGACTCAACACCTTATTTGGGGCTCTCCAGGGATCAGAGATCTGTGAACTCTCAATCCCACAGGGGCTGCCTATTACTCCTGACTCAGGAATCCTGAGCTTTTCCACATACCCATCCCTTCTGGGAGCTCTGAGAGGGCTCTCCCCACTTCCTGCTTCTGTTTTCTGCCCTCATCCCGGGAGCAGCAGACAGCATCTATGCATCCAGGGAAGGAAAAGGGTCCTAGGAGAGAAAAGACCAGGACCTGCCCATGTCAGAGGGGCCCAGGGCCCCAGCACGGTCTGTGAGCTTCTGAAGCCCCTTCCCTCTGGCCATAGCTCCCGTGGAGGTCTGCTGGGCAGGGCTGAGGGGGCGTCCAGCCTGAAAGAGACAGGGGAAGAGGGGATTTGGGGAGAGAGAGAGATAGCAAGAGAGAAAGGAAATTGAATGAGTGAATGAGTGTGAGAGAAAGAGAAGAAGGAGAGGGAGAGAGAGAGTGTGTGTGTGAGAGAGAGTATGTACGAAAAAGAAAGCTAGTGAGAGCTAGACCGGGAGACAGAAACAGACACAGAGGAAGGTTCAATAAACAGGAAATAAAGCCAAATAACACAGAATGAGATGCACCCCCAAAGACATGGGGAGAGACACAAAAACAGACAGGAGACAGGCATCCCCAAAAAGGAAGTCATAATGGGAGCACCTGGCTAAATGCCCCCCAACAAACCTCCCCATGAGAGTCTCATCAGACTTGGCATCTTCTGGAAAGGACAGGCCACCTCTGAACCCTGGCTGCCCTTCCTGTGCCCTCCTTAGAAGGTAGTCCAGAGCCCAGAAGGCTGGAAACTCACTTGCAACGTACCCCTACTGCCCAAAAAGAAACCTCTGGCCCCCACAGTCCACACTGGCTGGACAGGTCAGCTTTCTAAACTGGTGAAAGGGATTCGCACTCCGCTGACCTCAGTGTGTTCAGGGCCTTTCAAACTCAGGGCCCTGTGAGTTATTGTGAGGGGGACAGGGAGGGGACCTAAGTGGGGAGAGCGGCGGAAGGAGGTCTCACTAGAGATCAAAAGCCCAGGAAGGAACCCAGGGTCTGAGGCTGCCCTTTCACCCATGGCCGCTATTCACAGCCCTGCCTGCTTTGCCAAGTCTCTCCCTGCCACCACCTCCTCTGGGCCTTCCGGAGAGGGAGGTGCTGACTCAGCCTCCATTCCCCTCACCCAGCAGGATTCCTGAGCCATGCCACAGCTTCCTCGACGAAAGCTCTCAGTTCAAACCAACCAAGAGACAAAGCGACATCTCATAACTGGGTGGCACCCCAGCCTGACCCTCAGAGCCATCCCGCAGGCCTCCCAGGCATCCGTGTGAACCGGGGCTGTGCCGAGAGGCTGCGCTGGGGATAGAAATGATTTGTGGCCCCTGCCCTGTCAAGTCCACATGAGTGGCAGCCTCAGGGTCAGGCAGCAGAAGGGAAAGACAAGTGGGTAGATGCACTTGCAGACACAGTACTGGCACAGAAGCATTGGCCACCCAGGCTAGAACAGGCCTGCCTCAAAAGTCACAGAGTCCGAACCAGAATGTCATCCTTGACTCTTCTGCTCCTCATTTGTCCAGCGCCTGCTCACACCTCTGATGATGGAGAGCTCACTACCTTTCTAAGATAAAGCTTCCATTCTTGGCCCAGCCTGGCTGCTTCTGAAAGCCATATGTTGCATTCAGCCATAATCTGCCTCCTGCAGCTTCCTTTAACCAGCCCCAGCTCTTCCTCCAGAGGCCACAGAGATCTTACCTGCTGCTGAAGAACAGTTCATCTGAGACTTGGACATAGTGGCCATATACCCGAGTCTGGTCTTGGAGGCAGGCATCCTAGGAAGAACTCTAGAATCTCTATACTGAAAGGGCCCTTCGCCAATCCACTGGCCTAACAATATTCTAGTTAGTTTGTTTGTCTTTGCTCCAGAACTCTACTCGGAGCTTTCTATGGAAGCCCAAAATACCAAACAAAAGCACCCTTGACTGAGGATAGTAGAGGTCCCTCCACTCACCCTCGTTACTAATTGTGAACCCTCTAAAGGAATGTGACTGATCCACTCTACCAAGGAGCACTTACTGAGCACCTACTATGTGCCAAGCACTTGTATTAGAGCTGTGTTGTCCAATACAGCAGCCGCTAGTCCTATGTAGCTACTGTGCACTTGAAATGTGGCCAGTACAATCGAGGAGCTAATTTTTTTATTTGATTTGATTTTAATTTTAATTTTAAAATAGAAGCAGTGTAAAATATTTGTCCCACTAAACACAGCTTTATTGTTTTGGTAGGACTACATCTAACTTTAACTGTCAAACGTTTCGCATCCAAATTGAGATGTACTACATGTGTAAAATACACACCAGATTTCAAAAACTTGGCAGCAAAAATAAGAGAAAATATAGCATCAAATTTTTTATATGCTGACATGTTGAAATGATGATATTTGGGGTATACTGGATTAAATAAAATATATTATTAAAATTAATTCCACTTGTTTCTTTTTACTCTTTTTAATGTAGTTACTAGATCATTTAAAATTACACGTGGCTTGCATTCTGCTTCTGTTGGATAGTGCAGGGCTAGTCACTGTCATGTTATCTTTTTACCTGAAACACTCAGCAGAGTGAATGTTTCTTGAGCATCTGAGACACATAGCTCAAAACTATCTCCCTAAATGCTTCTAGACTAAATGTTCGAAAGCCTCCGTCAAAGTCTAAGCCACCCACATCTCTCTACCTCTCTCCCTTTCCAAATCCTGCCGTGCTGGTCCTCTCCCTGCACATGCTCACCAGAGTCCCAGACTTGGCACAATCTCTCTTGCCTTTGATTGGAATGCCCTCTCCTCCCTTTACCCAGCTCTCAAATGCCACCTCCTATGAGGAGCCCCCAAGATCCTTTTGGTCAAAACTGGCCCTCCCTGCCTTACTCTTTCCCCCAGTGTCACCTCACCCACTGCCCTCCTCATCAGAGGAATTTCAGCTTGCCAGTCTTGCTCGCCACCTTACCCTCTGTGGTTGGATCCTATCACCCGTTCACCTCTGCAAGATCTGGGCAGGAGGGTGGCCCCAGGAAATGCCCTCAGAGCAAAACTCAAGTCTAAGCTGGGGATGACTGTGAACTAGGCAGCAGAGTAAGCAACTCCACCTTGCAAAGCCTCAGTCACCTCATCCGAAAAATGGGCAAGGACCCTCAGCTGTCTTCCTCTTAGCTCTCCATTGCCTCTCTTACCCCATGATTCTTCTCTCAGGCTGCTGATGGTACCGCACTGGAGGCCAGAACCCTCACAAATCCATGGTTTGCAGCTGCCATGGGCCAGCCGGCCAGTGTGCCTGAAATATCCCTGTTTCCCCAGTGGCTGCTTCTTACTTTCTCTGCTCTCCTCCAACCTCTGGCCTTCAGGTCTCACTTCTCTCTCCGCATCCAACCTGCTAATCATGCCCTTCTGATTGAAACTCTTCCCCATACTGGCCCCAGGCTCTGCCCAGCCCCAGACTGCTCCGCCTCCAAAGCGCATCTCTGAAAGGGCTGAGGGACAACAGGTAGCTGGAAAATACCAGGGAACTGAGGCCTCAGGAGCACTCCAGCTCCTCCTGACTCCCCAGTCCATACCAGCTGTATGGCTGTGTAGCCTCCATCCCCTCCCCTAGTAAAACGGAAGTGACAGTCTCTGCCTCTTTACCTCCCCCTAGGGCCACTGCAGGAATCCAGAGAGATACAGAGAGAGGATGGGAAACATCAGAAGGGGGCACTTATGCAATACCCCCGACAGACACTTCCCTGGTGTGAGCCCGGCCATTGCTGCCCACCCCTGGGATCAAACGTGCATACTCTCAGTGGTGTGGGGTAGGAGTTAGGGGGAGGCTCTGGTTGATTGGGTTTGTCCCCCACTCTTTCCACTCCTATAAGCTTCCAGGACCATCAAGTCATTCTCCCTTCTACCACAGACCACTGACTGGACTGCCCCCTAAGTCTTCCTGAGGATCAGGACTCTACCATATATATCAGAACTGGAAAGATTTCAAAGATCACCCAGGCCAGGAACAGTGGCTCATGCCTGTAATCCCAACACTTTGGGAGGCCTAGGCAGGCACATCACTTGAAGTCAGGAGTCCAGGATGAGCCTGGGCAACATATCAAAACACCGTGTCTATTTATTAAGAAAAAAATTTTAATTAAAAAGTAAAAAAGATCATCCAATACCACATCTGATTCTTGATACTCTGTTGGCAGCCCAACAAGTGGCCACTTAGTCTCTGCTTACATATCCCCAGAGATAGGGCACTCATTACCTCCCGAGGCATCTCCTTTTATCCTAGGCCACTCTCATATGTGCAACTTGGTTCTTTTTAAACTGAGGTGAAATCACCTCTGCATCAGCCACACACTTTAAGGCCATGCAATGAGATCTCATTCCTTCCTCCTTCCATGTCAGCCCTCCAAATACTTGAAGGCAGCAATCCAGTCTCGCTTATTCTGCTCTTCTTTGTGCCAAAATATCCCTAGAGGCTTGAGGTGTTCCCAGATGCTGTATCAGATCCCTCTTCGCCCAGGACACAATCCCATTTGTCACCGTCCCTCTTAAAGGTCAATACCCCCAAATGGGCTGCAGTCCTCCTCCGGGCATGATCTGAGTAGTACGGAGTAGTCAAGACCAACACCACCCACATTCTGACCACGCTATACCTTGTAAAGGAGCTTGAGGGGCAAAACCATGACTGCTGGTCAGACTGCAAGCCAATATAGCACTCCGAAAACAAAGTAAATAATGCCCCCAGGCCAGAACCTGTCTGTTTGGTGGTAAACATCAAACTAGCTTTTCTCTTTCCCCAAAAATCTCCACCTGGATCCCTCAGCCTCTGGGGGAGTCTCACACAATCTGTCCCTCCACCGTGAACAAATACATCCAGGCCCCAGCTTAGGCACATCTGCTGCGAGTCCAGGTGACAATGGGAGAAAAGATGATACCATCAACCTCATAAAACAACAGAGATGGCAGGCCCACTGCCTCCTGCAGCAACACAGCACCGCAGCCTACTGAGTTAAAGACGTCTGACATCTGCTCAGGAGCAGCAGGAGCAGAAGAGAGAGGCAAGGCAGGTTCCAAAAGCCGCAAATCTTCCCCACACACCCCCACGGTTCCAAACCGAGGCCACCGGCTCTGCTTCTGCACTGCTGGCAACACGCAGACCACAGGCCAATCCACGGCTGGGCCGACTCAATTTTCTAGTTACAGATCTTAAGTACTTAGGCATGTGCTCATGAGAACACACATCCCTTACACAGAGCTGAGAAAGGGAATTGTGCTGAGGAACAGAATAATTGAATCAAGATTTCTGTCATGCTGCTCTCAGGCCCTAGACCACAGCTCTGGCTTTTTTTTTTTTTTTTTTTTTTTTCTTTTCCTGACTAAGGTTTTACAGGCTCCCAGGGGGTCTTTTCTCCTCTCAAACCCATTAATGTCAGCCAGTACTGGCAGCCCATACAGGGGAAAGGAGCCCCAGTTAAGGTGTCCGGTGTCCAGGATGGAGGTGGCTGGCTCTGGAGACCCAGGCACCACAGGGCCAGGCCCGTGGAGGGGCTGAGAAAAACCAACCGGGAAGATTGTCATCTTTGTAATCCCCCCCAACACCCCCGCACTTCTTCCTTCCAGACCCAAGGACAAAGATGAGATGATTATTAATTTCCTCAGCACCGCCCCCCAACACCATCATCAGGGCTGAAGGCCTTCTCTGTCTGCTGAGACGTGTGCAGGGCCTTTCAGAGAACCCACCCCTCCGCCCTCCGCACGTGTGCCCCTCTCACGGTTTGGCCAGCCCCCTCTCTCTGGTCCAAAGCTCCTCCACAAAGTGGACTTGGGTGTGGAGCCCAGCACACCCTGCCCTCGGGCCGCATATCTGCACGCACACAGGGTCTTCTTAAAGGCCAAAGCTCAGGCCACAAGGGCTCTGCCAGGCCCGCTGCTTCTATCCAAGGGGTGACCATGGGGGAGGCCAGCAAGAATGCCACAGTCTCACCCTGCTGCCTGTCTGTCTTGCGGAGGGCTCAGCCCTTTCCCGTGTTCACGAAAAGGACAGCGTGCGGGCCGGGGGACTCGCTCCTCTGCAGGTAAGGGGGGTGTTCGCGGGCACCTCTGCTGCCACCCGCGACCGAGCGCCGGAAACAGACCCCGTGGAGCGCATCCCCGACGGGGCTGCGCGGGCCTCTCTTACCTTCGTCTCTCTTGCGCTTGTTGGTGTCGGCGCTGGGGGACGTGATGCCCAGGATGCCGCTGATGGAGTACGACGAGCCGGCCGAATCCGTGCTCACCGAGGACACCTGCGTCACGGAGCCAGTGGACACTGCGCGGAGAAAGACGGGCGGTCAGGGCCGCAGAGGGCTGAGGGCGGCGGACCGGCTGTCACCGCACGTGAGGCTGGGGGCGGCTGGGAGGGAGCGAGCGCAGGGTGGGCAGGGGGCGCTGAGGACCCTCGCTCTGCGGAGGCGGCCACACCTGAGCCACGAGCGCAGGCCTCGGGCGGGCCGTGTGCCCCAGTTCTCTGCGATGGGGGGAGAAAGGGAAGGGTGGGCACTGAGAAGGACTGACCCCTGCAGAAAGGAACACGGGGACACGGGGACAGGAAGGGCTTTCGCTTAAATTCCAGCCTATCCATGGATGCAGGAAGCAGGGGATGGAGAGGAGAAAGAGGGGAGCCGGGGCCCACCAACAGTCAGTGCTTAAAAAAAAAAAAAAAAAAAAAAAAAAACCTGAACTACTCGTTAGGCATTTCACCACCTGCCTGCACACCCAACCCAACCTTGGGTGCAAACACAACTACCTGAGCACAAACTCACGCGCACGGCTAACAAACTCCAAACCGCAGAGTGCCCCTTCTTTTTATAGTTTTCTTGCTGCCTTTTCTCCTTCCAGTTTCCCCCGATTTGATTTTAATATTAATTATGACAATAACAATAACTAACATTTTCTGAGAACTTACTCTGTGCCAGGCATTGAGGCATTATCTCATTTAATTCTGAGAACAATCTTAGAAGCTAGGAAATGTGATAATCCTATTGGAAAGGTAAAACTCAGAGAAGATAAGTGGCTCACCCAGGATCATACAGCTAATAAGAGGCAGAGTGCCTGGTGCCGGGGCTCACGCCTGTAATCCCAGCACTTTGGAAGGCAGACGTGGGAGGATCACTTGAGCTCAGGAGTTCAAGACCAGCCTGGCCAACATAGCAAGACCTACCAAAAAACTTTAAAAAAAAATTAGCCAGGTGTGGTGGCACAAGCCTATAATCCCAGCTACTTGGGAGGCTGAGGCAAGAGGATCACTTGAGCCCAGGAAGTCGAGGTTGTAGTGAGCTATGATTGTGCCACTGTACTCCAGCCTGGGCAGCAGAGCAAGACCCTGTCTCAAAAATAAAAATAAAAAATAAAAGAGACAGAGTGGTGATTTGAACCCAGAGACTAAAGCCTCAAACCCTATAACTAATCTGCTTCGCACTAATAAACAATGAAGAGCAATAATATACTTCACATGAATGCAGTACTTTTCATTTGATGATTGCAACAGCCCAGAGTGCTATTATTTATCCCCATTTATCAAATAAGGAAACTGAGGCTCCACAGGGAAAGTGATTCAAAGTCATCTAGCTAATAAACAGCGGCACCAGAACTTAGCCTTGGGTTTACTTACTTAAAGTCTAGATTTCCCCCGCCCAGAAATAGGGGCAGTGGTTGGTGACTTATTGTGACTGAGGCTAGGTCTCAAAGTTCCTAAGAATAAGAATTGGATGGGAGGTGGGGGGCAACTTTTGTGCAAGTTTCACATTAACTTCTGGCCCCAGATTCCTAGGGAGAGACCAGTCCATCAGCAGGGGCCTCTCCAGCTGTACAGCTGAATTGCCATTTCTGGGCTGTGGGAATTCTTTTTTGATTCATTAAAACCTACAGACCAATCTCAGACACACTTCCTTGGGCTATAACCAGCTGGAGGCAGGTGGAGCCACCTTTGACTCTTAAGAGTAGGAAATCACTAGAAATGGTGGTGACTGCCTGAGAAGCCCTTCACGGCTTCCCTTTGGAGCAGATCCAGCTCCTGGCTCCTACAAACCTAGAGGGAGCCATGCCTTTCTTCTCACATTTCAGTTTGATCTCACATCTTCCTTAAGAGACACAGAGGCAGAAATCGTTAACTTCTCTTTTTCTTCACCAGAAGAAGCTCCTTAAAATAGATTTATGCAAATCCCACAACCTTTTCTGTATTAACATGTAAAAAACAGAGGAAGAAAGAAGATCCCAGGTCACTTGGTACTTTAAACAACAACCACCATATATAACCAAAGCTCACCATGTTGCTGGCAGAGCCCATGACATTCGTTTTGGTGTTTTGTGATTGCGCTAGGCTCAAAAGACCCAGATTCCACTTTTGGCCCCACCACTTACTGGCAACATGACCTAGGGCTAGTTATTTCATCTCTGTAAGTTTCAGTTTCCTCACTCCTCGGTAAGTTTGTGAACTCTAAGGGGCTATATGTATGCGAGATGTAGTTTAATTTAAAAATTTCTGGGACAGAACAAAACATGCTGCTGACCTACAGTAGAATTATTCTTCTAAACCAAATGAAAGAATATTAGCAGTTATACCCATTTGATTTTCAGTGCTATGTGACCTGAAATAGTTGGTCAGCTACAAGTGAAATCTCAGCCACAAACATTCCCCCAGGAAGCCTTCCTTCACCCTCTTCACCCTAGCCCAGCAGAGCTGGTGGTTCCTTTCCTTCTGCCCCCACAGCACCCATCCCTTCTTCTTGAGCTTCATCTCTGTCTTGCAAACTTCTCTTCATTATATTCCCCCTTTACCTTGAGAATGGGGATTTTGTCTTCCCTTTCTTATAGGCTTGGCCTCTGATGCCAAGGTCTGCACCGCAGGGACTTAGCAGACACTTTCTGAAGGGATTACTAAATGAGGAATTATTTCATGGCAGGGAGGAAATCTGTCTTACCTTTATCCAAAGAGCCAACCATGGAGGATCAGAGGCCTCAGTGAGCACCTGGTTAGTGCCCCTCCACCCACAAATGAGGAAACTGAGGCTCAGGGAGGTGAGAGAACTTTTACATTTTACTGGGTGAGGTAATGACAAAGTTGGAACTGGAGGCCAGGACTCTGCCCATTCCCCATCACCGTGTGAGTTCAAGTTCTCAGTTAAAGAAGGAATAACAAAAGTGTGGAAATGTTACACAATCTGAGGTGTGATTCTGCAGGATTGACTGTGGCAACCAGAAGTGTCAGAGACTTGCTAAATCATTGCCCACTTTCTTATATAGTACAATAACTTTTCCCCCAGCTAACCAGCGGTGTTTCCTGTATCCCAAGTGGAGAAATAATACACCTTAAATAGACACATGTCATTTCACAATCTTTGAAGGGAAGACAAAGGACATTTCTGAACTCTTGAGCACTAGGAAGTATGACTCCCACTCTGTCGGGTCACAGCCACTCTCAGACGTCACCTGCGAGCACTGGAAACCCCACTGGCAGCCCTTGACAGTTCATAGAGTTCATGAGATCGAAGCAAGAGAGAGAGAGAAAGTAAGTTTGGGAACTTTTGCCACATCTTCACTCAAGACTGCAAGTGCACAAAGAATTGTAGAAGGGCTGGTTGATAGAAGAAAAAAACACATTCAAAACTACTTACTGACTAATGATGCAGAAAATGTTATGAATAAGTATCCCTTTCTTGATTTATTACTTTAATTATCTGACATTCTATAGACCCCCATTAGTGGATTTTTTTTTGGCTTAGATTTCAATTTTCTGTCTCATGGTGAAAGCTATTTATCATAATAATCAGTAAAATTCAAAACCTTTTAGCAGTATTTATAAAATTCATTTACCAGGTTCAGCCCTTGGAGAATGACAAAGAAGGCGCATTAGTACGTGTGCTGAAGTGTTTTATGCAGAATTATCTGTCCATAAGAATGATTAAAAGTTCTTTAGAATATTTGGAGCCCATTAGATTTTTAAATTTTTTTTAAAAGTTCCTCTTACCTATGCTGTGACTGGAAGCTGGGACTGGTTGGTTGGGTGGCTGCTGTACTTTTGTCCGGATGATCCTGTGGGCAGTTGAAAAACAAAATTGCTATTTACCATCAGGAAGGAGAAGAGACCTCAACCAGCTATGCACAGACAACCAGAAAACTCATACCCAAGCTGGGCCATGGTTCGAGCTGAGGCAGAGGGGCAGAGGTGGAGGGAGATTATAAACCCAGGCTGGAATCAGGAGGGTGGAAGGTTTATGGACTAGTCCCAACTTTGCTTCTGTTTCCCTGTGTAATTTGTTTCCTTGTGTAATTTGCACCCCCTCTCTGGGCTTCAAGTGCCTCTTCTGAAGAAAGAGGATGATGTGTTAACATTACGAGTAAGCATCCCTTTCTCGAGTATAGCTCTAGCTCCATAAGAGACTCATTGAGTGACTTTAGGGAGTCCTTCCCTTTCCTAGACCTCAGCCTCCTATATGTGGAATGAAGGAACTGAACTTGGTAATCTCTCTGTCCTCTGGCAGCGCTCACGTGCTGGTTTCTCTGCCCTAGAGAACGCATAAGGAGGGATAACACCCCTTCCCCTAGGAAGTTGCCAAGGGAGGGGATGTATATGTTGTTCTGATACTAGGGAGAGTCAAAGTGCAGCCAGGAGACATCCGGTTTGGCTTTCTTAAGAGGAAGCCTACCTTGCACCAAACCTCACAGAAAGGATCCACAGGGCTGGAGCCAGTGATATCCTGGCCTGTCTTTTCAGAGACCTTGCTCACACTCTAATACAAATTCCACTGTGACCTTGACCAAGTACATTCCATTGTGGACCTCCGATACAATGACGGAGTTGGAACAGACCACTCTGCTTATTTTAAGTAACCAAATCATTTTCGGAAAAGAAAAAAGATCTTATGGAAAAACCCCGTACATAAAAGAGATAATAGCAGTACTGCCTTCCCTTGGCCATCTGACCGCTCTAACATCCTTCTGCAGAACCTTAGGCTCTGAAGAGTTTGTAGACGTCCAGCAAGGACCACGCATGCGCAAGACAGCAAGTCCGGCGCATCTGAGAGCAGCAGAACAGGGCCACGCGAAAAGCTCCTTCGGATCTACCAGAAAGCTCCTTCCTTGGCATTTGGGAGAAGAGTGGGTCATAATAAAATGTCCGGTTTCTTTGGAAAAGTTATATTCCAGTCTCAAACTATTACCTTTTGAAAGGACATTTATTAGAGTTTTTTCTCATTATAACAGTAATATACGTTCATTGTAGACTCTTTGGACAGTATGGGAAAGTATAAAGAAGACATCTAAAAACGGTATTTTGGTGTATTTCCTTTATACCAACATTCCTGGGCATATTTAGAAATATCCATTTTTCTCTTAACAAAATCAGGATTATGCCATGTATACAGTTTTTTTTGTTGTGGTGGTTGTTTGTTTTGAGACAGAGTCTTGCTCTGTTGCCCAGGCTGGAGTATAGTGGTGCGATCTCAGTTCACTGCAACCTCCGCCTCCCAGGTTTGAGTGATTCTCCTGCCTCATCCTCCCAAGTATCTAGGATTACAGGCATGCGCCACCATGCCCAGTTTTTTTGTTTTTTTGCTTTTTTGTTTTTCTTTTTGAGACGAAGTCTCTCTCTGTCACCCAGGCTGGAGTGTAGTGGCATAACCTCAGCTCACTGCCACCTCTGCCCCTAGGGTTCAACTGATTCTCCTGCCTCAGCCTCCCGAGTAGCTGGGACTACAGGCGCATGCCACTGCCTAATTTTTGTATTTTTAGTAAAGAAGAGGTTTCACCACGTTAGCCAGGCTGGTCTCCAACTCCTGACCTCAAGTGGTCGGCCCTCCTCGGCCTCCCAAAGTGCTGGGATTACAGGCGTGAGCCACCGCACTCAGCCTCCATGTATACAGTTTTGCAGCCTGCTCTTTTCATGCAACATTCTGTGAGAAGCTTTTTCACATTCCAGACCATTAATATCTGAAAGTTTATTCTGAGGCTGCACTGGGTCTCCAGCTTATACAAATGAAGAATGACAGAAGTAGCAGGTGGGTGCCTCCCCTTAAACTCAATGGGCAGTAGCCTCTCTGCCCTTTCTGATCTTACAGCTTGGTGCTCGGCACCAAGGGCAGTCCGTGTCCTCAGCTGATAGCCTGAAATGGTCTTTTCTGTTCACCCTATAGTCTCACCACACACACACAGGCCATCTGGAGCCTGGCTACTTGAGCTCAGCAAGGAGCCTCTTGCCCTTTTCTAATCAGTCAGCTTAAGTGTTCCCTCAAATACATTCAGATTGTTTGTTTGTTTTCCCTAATATTCAAACCACTTATTTTAACTAAGCAAACTCGAAGCATATTGGACAACCAGAAAACTCATGGCATTTGGGAGAAGAGTGGGTCATAATAAAATGTCCAGTTCTGGGAGTGAGGTTCTCTTTTTGGTCACCTGGAAGTAAGCTGGCATCTGACCTAATGTTTATATTTTTGTGTATGTCACTTTCTCTGTGTGTATGTGTCTACAGAGATATTGCTGGATATGTCAATATATGGATATACCAGACATAAATATAGTTACAAATAAATATATGGCAAAAAAGTCACTGTAGTTCAGCTTAAAATCCTTACTTTTCAAATCATTGTCTGACTATTAAATTTGTATGTAAAAAAGCAAAGAAAATTATGTTTTCCTCATTTTCTTTTAAAATAGTTATAAATATCACTGGGAAAGCATTATCAATTGTTATAAATCATTAAGAGGCTGCAGTAGCACAGTGTACAGGCTCTGGAACTAGACCACTAGAGTTTGAATCCCATCCCTCTTACAATTTACCAGCTACATGACCTTGGGTAAATTACTTAACCTCTCTATGCCTCAGTCTCTTCATCTGCAAATGGGACTAAGAATCATTTCTATCTCATAGGATTACTATTAGGATTAAATTAATGAATTACTTAAAACAGTGGTAGCTACATACTAGGTGCTCCTTAAATGTAAGATGTTATTTTCAGTGGTGTCTTTGTAAAGATTAATGACTAGCTTCCGTCTTAAAATATTCATATTTTTCACATTTGCTTTAAAAAGCACAAGGCGAGGGCGGTGGGGGAGTAAAGATGCTCAATGGGTGCAAAAAAATAGAAAGAATGAATAAGACCTAGTATTTGATAGCACAATGAGGATACTATAGTTAGTAATAATTTAACTGTACATTTAAAAATAACTAAAAGAGTGTAATTGGGTTGTTTGTAACACAAAGAATAAATGTTTGAGGGGATGCATACCCCATTTTTCATGGTGGGTTATTACTCATTGCATACCTGTACCAAAATATCTCATGTACTCATAAATATATATATATATGCCTACTATGCACCCATAAAAATTAAAAATAATAATAATAATAAAGCACAAGTGGCCCCCTTGGAAGCTGGGGAGGGGAAGGTAGCCACTCTCACACTGTTTTAAGAATGCATCAGGGTTGTCCTTTATAAAGGGGGATCTCAGAGTTATAGGCAAGCCTCTGAAGCTGCCCCCAGGGGTGAGAGATTTTGCTCATCTGCCTTTAGCAGTCACCAAGTAAAAACAAAGAGCATCAGCTTACACTGAGAAGAAACTGTAGTGGGAAGAACAAGACTGTAATTGAATCATAACAACTCTAAACAAATTTTAAATTTTAAATATGACAGGCTGTCAAGACTCATCCAATAAGAACACACTCAGGACCTTTTCTAAGCCAGGGACAGTTGGGCTGAGTTGGCAGTCACACCAAATTGCCCGTCCCTTACCTGCTGAGCGTGAGCAGGACCCTGGCTGCCGTACTGCAGAGCACACTAGACGTTCCAACAGAGAAAGGAGCTCAGCATCAAACTCTTCCTATGAATAAGGAAACTAAAACCCAAGATGCTCAAATGACTTGCCCAGAATTGCACAGCGAGTCAGCCCAGACTCCCAGCCCCCATGCCCCAGCACTTTACTTTAAGCCACATTCAAAGGAAGCGCGGTCCCTCTGCTAAATACTTCCTATGTGAGGCATAAAAGCTATTTGGATTTCAAACCCACTTAGAATTTGAGGTTTAAAACTCTGAGGGACTTTGTGGCATTTAAGGATCCCATGGAAACATCACTCTTCCTTCTTTGAAAGGCTAGGCTTCTCACCATCATCCCACGCCCCCCGCCCCACCACCAGTCCTCACAAAATTACAGTGAAAGAGAAAATCATGGTGCCTTGAAAAAGGAAACAGGAAGATAAGGCTGAAGAAACACCCACATCTATGGCACTGATCAAACTGCCATCAGTGCAGTAAGAAGCTTGGGCCATCAGCTATGCCGAGAATTCAAAACCCAGGGGTCCAACTGTGCCAAGCTGCAAGGGGCCCCACAGGTGGCACCCAGGCCTGTGACTGTTGTGGAGAAGAAAGAGGACACAGATAGAGGTCGATGTGAGTGGATCACTTGAGTCCAGGAGTTCGAGACCACCCTGGGCAACACGATGAAACCCTATCTCTACAAAAAATGCAAAAAATTAGCCAGGCATGGTGGTGGCACCTGTAGTCCTAGCTACTTGGGAAGCTGAGGTGGGAAGATCACCCGAGCCTGGGAGATCAAGGTTGCAGTGAACCATGATTGTGCCTCTGCACTCCAGCCTGGGTGACAGAGTGAGACCCTGTCTCAAAAAAACAAAAAAAAAAAAAAAAAAAGAAAGAGGAAATGGATAAACAATCTCAGAAGGCCTGCTACCAAAATTAGAATTAAGAGCAGAACTAACAAAACATCTTCCCCAGGGCCACCTCCAGCCCGGGACAAGTTTTGTTAGCCTGCACAGTATATTTGTTTTTATTTGACTTAGTTGCTAATATTTTTAAGTTGGGAGATTTTTCATAAATATCTGAATTCTAGCTTCTCTTGAAAAATCAGAACACCCAACAATACTGGCCTCACGTTCTCACATGACCCAACCAGTTGGTACTAAATAGAGCTGCCCCTCTAAGCTGGGAGTGCCACTTGTACTCCCCACCCCTTGGCCACGGTGCTGGAATAGAAGAAGGAAGACCCCATTCAACCCACCGTTTGGGTCAGCTTTGGGATGGCCACCTCCAATGGACACTCAGACTGGATCCAGCGATCCCTGCAGGTTGTGCAGCCTCCCAGCACGTTTGTCCATAAGAAGTCAAATGAACAAGGTGATCTGTGTCCCAGGAAATCCCCCACAAGCCTAACAGAACTAGTTCAGTGATGCTTAACCCCTTGTCAGTCATGGTTTCCTAGGCTGGTCCCCTGGAAGGTAACAGGAAGTCACATACTCCTAGGGGTGAACCGTGGAGATGCCCCTGTGGCTATAAGAATAGCCACAAATCCAGCCATCACTCCCTCCCCAGCTGTTTGAAATCAGAAAGGGTGAAAAGTTGCCTCCAAGGGAGGCAAGGGCTGGGAGAGATGTGGACCCTCTTACACAGTGTCATTTGCAAGGCAGGCATTTAGAAGCTGCATTCATCTGAATGCAGTGGGAGCTTTGCCTTCATCTGAAAAATAAAACTGTATGCTGGGATGGCTCTGGCTTTGGGGGTTTAGGGGTGAGGAAGGCAGCCGCATGAGATTGTCCTACACTTAGTGAGCTGTCACTGAAGAGAGCAGGAAGGAGCCAGAGAATACTCCCAAAAAGGAGCCCCCAGTGAAGAGCACTGGAGAAGGCTAAGGATGAGAGAGGGCAGGCAGCCAGGCAGCAGAACGGGCAGCCCGCGAGGATCTGAAATGCAGAAGAAAATACTTGTCCTCCCTCTTGTCTCTCATCTCACAGATCCTCAGTTCTGTCACTCGCAGAGTCCTACAGGGCAGTGGTGGAAAGAAACTAGCCCTCCTTTTACCGTTGGGAAACCTGGGTTCTACCCCCATGTCTATCTCCAAGTCACTGTTCCTCTGCACTCTCCATCTTGGCCTCTGTTGCTACAACTGCCACAGGATAGAGTCAAGCCTTAAGGACTATAGGAGACCACAGACATGAAAGCACCTTAGAGGCATGGCCTGCCTGGCCATGGCTTTGGACTGGACACTCAGGACGCCCCTGAGGCTAGCCATGGCCCTACAGACAGCAGTTAGAAATTCCCCACAGCACAGGTCCAGGCAGAAAACATCAGCGGGCCCGTGATCTCTCTTGACCACACATCCCATGCCCCTTCACAGTCTTTGCCACATCTGTAACCACTGCTCTATTTGCCTCATACATTTCTTTCACATCACTTCAATTTTGACTTAAATAAATTTATTTTATAAGGCAATTGTAGTTCCCTACTGTAAGTGGGTAGGTGGGAGTGTTGAGGGGGAGTTCACAAACTCACTGGTTTGGTGTGTTACTTACGTTTTTCTAACATACATTAAAATAAATGTATTAGAAAACAATGTGCACCCTTGCATCTTTGCATTATAGAGGATGTAAACCGATGCTCTGTAAATAAGTTATGCTCATCCTGCAAGGCATTTTTAATTGAAATTAGTTGCCTCTGTTAAAAAAATATATAGATTAAGCTAGGTGTGATGGCTCACACCTGTAATTCCAGCACTTTGGGAGGCTGAGGTAGGAGGATTGCTTGAGCCCAGGAGTTCGATACCAGCCTGGGCAACATAGGGAGACCCCCATCTCTACATAAAAAAAAAATTAATTTAAATATAGAGATTTCACATACAGAAATATCCATGCATACATCTACACAAGCCCCAGCTTCTGCCTTCTCTTGAAGAATGCAAAAAATCTGGCAAACACCAGACCCATGGTCCTGGCAGCATTCGGCTGGAGCTAAGAAGCACTGCCCCTTTAATCGGACTTGTGCTGCCTAGCTTGCCAGGGACCCAACCTCTCCCCATCGTCTTTTGCCTGGCCTGCTTCCCTCATTACCTTATCTGCCTGGCCCCATGTAAGGCATTAGATTTTGTGACCCCCATGGACTACCTAAGGTTATCTTGCGAACCCCCAATTATATGTGTACTCTACGTTGGGAAACCTGTGGGTCCCCAAAGCCTGACCAGGGGTTTGGCTGATGTTCCTCTGCAGAGCAGGCCAGCTGCCTGTCATGTTGTTTTGTGTCGTGGAAATCCCGCAAAGAGCCAGAAGTAAGGGGCTCATAAAACACAATGGAGCCTCTTATAATCCATAAAAAGAACAGGAGTTATCCCCTCCTCCCCAAAACCTACCATCATCATTGCTATCCCCTCAGCAATTTTGTCCAGGTGCATCAGGCTTCTAAGTGCATGTCAGAACCCCACCCTGGACAAAGAGCCCCTCTGGAACAGACCAAGAAACTGTGTGCCTGATTCTCCTCTATCTCCCCTGTACCATGCATGATGTCAGGGCCTCTGTCAAGGTTTGCCAAGAGAAGAAAAACAGGCTAACAATTTACAAAATAGCAGGACTCAAAATGTGAACACATGCACTCCCACAGCGATCTGTGCATTTGAATCATCACAGAAGGATCCACTATCAGGACAAGAGGCTCTCATTCTAGTCTGACCGACCACCTCATTCTGCCAGGAGTGAGGGTCTCCTACGCCCACACAAGCTCTGCACTGATGATGGTAGGGTGTGATTTGGAGAAATGGAAACTGTCCAAGTTTTCAGGCTGCTCCCTTCTCTTTTCTCTGCAGAGTTTAGAGAACCATCATTTCTGTTCATCTCTGAACTTCATCCCTGACTCTTTGGGTTTAAATGGAGTTGAAATTTCATCATCTACAACAGAAAACTTTCTTCCATACATTTATTTTTAAAGCTCTGAGAGCGCCCTTCCATGTGTCTTGGATCAGACTGGAAAGGAAAGGGAGCTGTGTGGCTGCCAGGAAGATCCTGTGCATGACTCCCAGGGTGTTTCTCTGGTTCTTTCTCTCCCTGTGTGAGATTCCATGTATGAGTTGGGGAGAGGGCAACTCCTTTGCTCCAGAGCATCTTAGCCTCCTGGACAACACCTCTGGAGTTGAAGATGCACATCAGAACCACTGGGGTTCTGGGCTCTCAGAGAGAGGAAGAGCTTTGTCAAGGTCCCACTTTGAGCTTGTGGCAGAGCTGGAACAAGGAGCCAAGTCTCCCAACTCCAAGTCAGGTTTATGTTCCTCTCACTCACTGGCTCAAGCTCTGCCCAAACTGGAGGAAGGATTTTCTTCCTGGGAATCTTTGAGATGGGCCAGTGCTAAGACCTTGAGCCTAGGTTTGCAGGGACAGCGACATTTGTGAAGATCTAGTCAGGACAATTCACTGTGAAGTGTTCCACACATATAGGTGGGTGGTGAAGGGAGGGATGGAAATAACTCTGGGCTCAGAAGAAACTCGAGCGGCCAGGGTGTTGGCATGCTCCCCTCTCCCTGGGCCTAGGACTCCTACCTGCTTTGGAAAGAAGAGAAGGGTAACAGAGACCGAGCAGGCCCCATTAGCATCCCTCCTGTTCAGTAACCCCTAAGGGGCCTTGGTGAAAAAAGAGACCAGATCTTCAGGAAAGGCACATGCAGAGCCTCCAGGATGCCCTGCCATCCCTCCAAATCCCCAACCCCCACAGGCACGAGCCCCTCACCTGTTGATGGAACTGACGCTAGGCACGGTGTCATTGTCACACACCCGCTCTGCCAGCAGCCGGTCCCTGATCTCCCAGGCAAACATGGTGGGATTTTGGCGTTTATATTCAGCGATTTTTTCCACCACTTTGGGTGTGGCGACCTTTGGTTTGGATCCTCCAATTACCCCAGGCTTGATGCTTCCTGTCTCATAATACCTAGGACCCAAAGAGAAAGAAGCTTAGCCATGAGGAACCAGTAAAGTGGATATTGGCAACAAAATAACGGGCTACTCTGGCCAGGAAACGTCCGGATCTGCACGTTCCAATACAGTAGCCACCAGCCAGATGCGGCTTTTGAACATTTGAAATATGGCTAGTCTGAATCAAAATGTGCTGTAAATATAAAATACACACCAAATTTTTAAAACTTAGTACCAAAAGAAGTAAAATATCTCAATAATTTTGATATTAGTTGTATGTTGAAATAACAATTTTTATATATTGAGTTAAAATATATAATTAAAATATAGTACCTCTTTTTTTTAACTTTTCTTAATGTGCTGCTGGAAAATTTTAAATTGCATACACAGCTCTCATAGTATTTCTTTTTTTTTTTTTCAGACGGAGTTTCGCTCTTGTTGCCCAGGCTGGAATGCAATGGCGTGATCTTGGCTCACTGCAACCTCCGCCTCCTGGGTTCAAGTGATTCTCCTGCCTCAGCCTCCCGAGTAGCTGGGATTACAGGCATGTGCCACCATGCCCAGCTAATTTTGTATTTTTAGTAGAGACGGGGGTTTCACCATGTTAGTCAGGCTGGTCTCGAACTCCCGACCTCAGGTTATCCGCCTGCCTCGGCCTCCCAAAGTGCTGGGATTACAGGCATGAGCCACCACGCCCGGCCAGTCTCTCATTGTATTTCTATTGGACAGCACTGGCTAAGCATTAACAAAATTCTTTCACATTCATCTACCATTTTATAGTTTACAGAAAACTTTCGAGTCAGTTTTCCCATTTTATCTCCAACAGTTCTAAAGCACATAAATTGCTTTGAATTAATGAATGAGTGAATGAACAAATAAATGAATAGGTCCTGATCTACAGGTATAAAGCAGAGATTCATCAAGGTTAAACAGTTTTCCTAGGGTCACACAAGACCAAATGGGCAAGCTAGGGCTGTTGCCCACCCAGCCTCTTGAACTACAATTTCCCCAATAAGGTAGCTTACACTTTTGATTTGCCAGCTCTCCCAAGCCCTAGCACAATCTCCAGCATTGTATGAAACTGTCCCCTGAAATGCAACTTATTTTTCTGTAAGAGAAAAATAATAATCCTGGTGTAAAATTAAAAGGAATGTTGAATTGCAGAATTATCTGAAAATATCTGTTGTAAGTCAAAACTCAAGCAATCGGAAAAACCAACCACAAGTCACGGCAACTCTTCCAGGGACCTCCCCTGAGGTAAATGGCTGTTTCTAAGGACATTTCCATGCTATCAGCATTTGCTCATTAAGGAAAATAGGATGTCAGGGTTTTACAGTAAAACCAAGACCAAGAAGAAGAGTGTCATGAAACATCATTTCAGGGGGGGATAATTGACATAATTTCTTTTCTGAATCTGAGACATCACCAGACGTCTCTCTCAATATTTACAGAAGAATTCTTGATTTCCTTTTCCAAGGAAATTATCTTGCAGTTGAATCTGTTTTAAAAAACCAAAAAGACATTTTTTAAATGACTAATAATTTTGAAACCTAACAAGAGTTGATGATAGGTAAGGGAACGAGGTGATTCTGAGATGGGTAGAAAATGTTACCCAAGATGACTGGTCACATTTACAGAGATGCTGAAATTCTCAGCCTGGGTATGTTTGGGTAAGGCCAAGTTAGTGAATATCCTGAAAGAGATGAAATACTTTGGAAGCAGTGATGTGAAAGTGAAATGTCTGTTTTTCATTGAAAAGAGTGAGTCATTTACAAATTTTGACCATAAGGTAAAAACTCAACCTATCTTCCCTCTTTCTAAAAAATTGCTTTCAGCAATTTTTCTGTAATTGCCAAAAAATTATTACTCACAAACAACTTTTTAACAATATCCCAAAAAAACCAGATGGCTAGAAAAGCACCCTAAGTCAAGGCACACAGCAATCTCTGCAGTCTCCAATTGTCCTGTCAATTTTATAATGTAAAGCCAATTTTTACTATAATACAACTCACTATAATTCAGCCACAGCACCCTAAAGTTTACAGAGCTCTTCCTCGAATTATCTTGATCCTCACACTAACCCTGCAAGGCCACAGGGATTTATAGAAGGAAAAATAAATGATTGGAAGACTAAGTGACTTGCCCAACTCCCTTCTGTAGTTAGGGACAGCCCCAGCTTTCAAACCTGACTCTAAATTCAGTGCTCTTCCCGCTACAGCAAGCTGCTGCTTTGCTTATAAAATTTTAAATAATAATAAGAATAATGACCCCTTGCAATTGCAGAGAACTTTACTATTTACCAGGCCAGGCATTTTCACATGCATTTTTCATTCATTCACTCACTCAATTGATAGTCACCGAGTGTCTGTTAGGACAGGCAGAATCTCAGGGAAGGGGTTACAGACATTTAGACAACCCTGTCCTGGATACTCAAAATATGTTAGTTGAATGGGACTGCAACATTCACATAGCAACTCTGGGAGGGTGGCAAGCTGAAGGTCCCCCCCAGCCTGGCCCCCACTTACATAGCTGGCGGGCGGCAGCACGCAGGGCTACCTGCCCATCCCACCTGAGCAGTGCCAACTGTGGAAGACTGCGGCCTTGACATGAGAGGTCTCTGTCGTCCTTTTGACTGACACATGGGCCAGGCACTTAGAAGGCAACCCTGACACTCCGAAAACCCCAACTCGAAACTGTGTCAAATGAGGATTCAGATTTAATAACTATCCTTTCATCTCAGCAAAACAGCCGTGCAGCCCCTTGGCTTACAGACAAAAGACCAACGGCAGCCACCAACACACAATGTCCTTCGGTGCAAAGAGCATTAGTTTAGTAATCAAGAGGTGTAGGTGGCTCTGATGCTAACTCTCTGTGTGATCTTGGCCAACTCACTTAGCCTCTCTAGGCCTCAATTTTCCCATTCATACAATAGGGGGAGAATGTCTTCCCTGCTTGTTTTGTGGGGCTGTTTTGAAGACAGAAATACAGACGGTTGAGAATAAGCTTTGCAAAACATAAAATAAAGAGCACGTGCGGAGGATTAAAATCCCTAGTGTTTCTTCTTACTGTGTAACATACTACCCAATACCAATGACCTGAACCTCCCAACCAGGCTCCAGTGAAAAAAGACAGCAGCCAGGCCCTGGGTGGATTTAACTCAGCCTCAGATGCCACCAAGCTGTGCGTCTCTAGCCCCTCCGAAGCCTTGAGCTCTGTAGACTGAATGCCCACACTCCTGGCAGACCGCCCACCTTCCTGAGATGACAGGGGTCCCTGTGTGCCCCAGGGACTTTGCCTGCCTTGCCACACACTCTGGAAACCATAGCCACCACACATCGTACTCTCCCTACAATCTGTCACCTCTTGTGTGCCCATCAAATTCTTCAGTGACCAAAAAAAAAAAAAAAAAATCTGTGGATTGAACGGCCCCAGTTCAGAAATTCCCAGTTACACTGTTTTAGGGCTGAACTTGTTTCTTAAAAGGCAGTTCTAATTAGAGTGACATTTTGTCCACTGTGGTTCTTAGTTATGAAAATAATGAGCTATGAAATTCCAATTTATTGTTGACAACTTAAACGGTCAGGCACCGGAGCGGCGCGTAACTTCCGAGTGCCACTCTACCTAGTGACAAATCTATTCCGGGTGCCGGCTGGTCTCGGAAGCATCCCTGTCCCCCTCAATCTCCATGGGAGATTTGGAGGCTCCAGAGCACCAGAACATGAGGACCACATGTTTGGATGTCCCCTCTGAAAAAGGCTCAGTATCTTGCCCTGGGATTTCAAACAGCGAGCAAAATGTCGGCTCAGCAAAGATGTCTCAGCAAAAACAAAGAAAGGGCCTTCTTTCTCTCTCCCTCTCTCTCGGTACAATGAAGAGGCTCCACAAAAAGATATCTAGGAGCCTTTTGGTTCTAGAAGTCTGATGCTGAGATAGTCTAAAGTATTGTGCTCTCTCTCTCTTTCTCCTGTCTTGTCATTTATCTATCTCTTTCTATTTCTCTGCCTTTTTAAAATCACTCTCTTTTCTCTTTGTCTTCTTTTTCTCTTTTTCTTTTCTCTATCTCTCTGTCTTCGACTTTTCTTCTCTCGCTCCCATCCGCCTGCCTAAAACAACCACCTAACAAGAAAACCATGTTAATGTCCTGCAATCACCCCCTATCTCTGGGGTTCATTTGCTGAGTGCTAAACAGGAGTGAAGCCCACAGCCCCCACAGCTCAGGTAACCTGCACTGGGCTGGAGGATGCGGAATGAACCCTGGGATCAAGGTCCCCAAAGGAGCTGCCAGACCCCTGGTCCTAAAATTTCTTCCCTTGGCCTCAAACAAGCAGCCTCCCCAAGGTTATTAGAAGCTGTTGCTCCTTCCATCTGAGAGAATTTCTTGAATTCCAGCAGATGAAAGGGAAGGAGCCAGGAGAAAGTCAGAATGTCACTGACATACTTCAAAATATTTACCTCCTATTCAGGTGTCTGTGCTCAAACCATAATGCAAACTACAGGACAAAGGTTGTTTTCTGACCCGGGAAAAGAAATAGTGAGAAAGCACTGAACAGCTAAACCCAAGAAAGCTCCTGCCTGCCAGGGCAGACCTAAAACAAGATCACATGCCCAGAAACAAACCTGTGGCTTTGTTTTGGGGCTATGGTGAGACCCAGATGGTCTAGGGGTCCTTTAGGCGTCATTGCAACCCGGGTACTGCCTGGCTAGATAAACCTGTGTCAGTCACTTTGCCTGTCTAGGTTTGTTTTCTCATCTTAAAACGTGCTTCATTGGATCATGCGGAGGCTACTGAGAAAATAAACGGGAGTGCTAAAAGGCTGCACGGTCCTATGGGAGAAGCCTCATTGTTAGTATTTTGTTTGCAGCAAATCGCCAGGTCAAGTGGCAACTTTCAAATGTCATATTTGAAAGTTGGTGTTTGGGTTTTTTTTTTTTCCTCTTCTCTAATTTAATATATACTTTGGATGCTTGTCACTGCGATGGAAATAAAAACATAGAGAAGGAAAATACTGCAGCCCAACATAACAAGGTTGATAATAACCCAAAACTGAAAATAACAGCTGACTTTTAAAAGTGGAATATGCTTCCAAAAACATTAAAATGAAACATTGAACTCTGGTTATGTGATATTAAGTCCTACGCGGGGACCCAGGCTCACCTAGGATATATAAGGGAAATTCCCAAGAACGTCTTACTCTTGAGTTCTTTAGAACAATTCACCAGGCTTTCAGAAAACATGTCTTCCCTCCTGACTAAGTCACCCTATTCCACATGTCACTAGAGACAGGGGTTTCCAAGGGCTACTTGGAATTGGGGCTTTGCAGACTTTAAAGTGCTCTGCGTGTGAAACAAAATGCCACCATGATTCTCACTATGATACTGTCATATTGGACAGCTGCTGGGTCATGTTTTAGGTCTTTATTTGAAAGATCAAGGGAAGCCTCGAGCTACTGCCTTTACCTGCCAAGAATTTTGCTGACACAACCATGGCTGACCCGAAGCTGCCTGGAGATGTCGCAGGGCCTGACACCTTGATGAGCAAGTTCCACTATCCTCTGGCGGACTACATCCGGGAGTGGCCGTCCATTCACAAAAACCCCCCCAAGCTGATTCACTCCTCCATGTCCTGAAACAGATCAGAAACAAAAGGAAAGGGAAAGGGTAGTTAGAACCAGTCACATAGGAGAAGCACCGCTGTGAGGACCCAGAGCCCCTCTGATCACAAATGGCCGGCAGGCTGGATGTCTCGCGCCTGGAGTCCAATCGTGCAAACTACACGAAGTCCCCAGATTGCTTTTTAAAATTAATCTTAGCCTTGGTCCATCTGCAGCCAGTCTGTTGAGCTATTGACAGCAAACATCCCCATACTATTATTAGCATTTTCCCCGTAATTTTTCTAAACAATGAAATGTGTGAAGATCTCAATGTAAACGAAATGGGCACAACTTATTATGTGATGCTGAGGTCTAAGGAAGATCCTGGGGAGAAAATATGCATTAAAATACATCATATTTAAAGAGGAAAAAAATAAAACTCGTTTCCTTTTAACAAATGTCTTTAAAAGTGAAAAGAACAACTCCAATAAACTTATATCTCAGGGAATTTTGTTTTTAATCAGCAATCTAATTCAAGGGCTAAGGAATTTTTTAAAAATTTAACAGCACCTGCAGAGTACTGAGAAAAAAAAACAACCATTGCCTTGTTTAAAACCCTCCCTTTAAGAAGGTGAGGTTGACATGCAGACTTGACCACTGTACCTTCTCAAAGCACACAAAAGAAATGGGTCATAGCATCTTCTACACACAGCACATTCCACTCCACTGCACGGGGATTTGTTATAAAGGAGTTTCCCTGGAATTTTTACAATGTTTTGCAATTGACATATAGCTTTATTTTGGTCCAGGGAAAATAAAGAAACCTACAAAAGCCTCTGGATCCCAGGTTTTACAAGGGTCCTGGGATAGATTTTAAGTAAAAGGAGCCCGAGAAAGTGCCTCCTCCACCCTTCTCTTACATCAAGGTCCATCTGGAAGGACACAAGGACTCAAGTAAATGAAGAGCCAAACCAGTAAACACAGAGTGATCCGATGCAGCAACATCATTGACCTTATAGCTGTTAATTAGTCACTCACTGACGTTGCTGAAGACTGGAGCCCAAAGCCAAGTCAAAGCATTTATTGATGTTGCTGGCAGCTCAGAGGCAAAGGAAGGGGAAACTCCTCCTGAACCAAGACTGGACTAGGACTGGACCGTACAAGGGAAAGACCTCAAAGGTCTCACACACATATATACTCAACTCTAAAATATGAAATAGCCACCTCATCTCAGCTATTTCTCCCCAGTACTAAACTACAACCCAGGTTCATGAACCTCATCTGAAATAAAGGGAGCAAAAACCCCCATAATATAATGTATTTCCTAAAAACTGTCCAAGCAATCCACTCAAGTTTCCCATGAATATTTCCCAAAAACGTCCAGGCTCAGGCTTATTTCAAGGAAAAACACAATTTTATAGATAACTGAAGTACTTAGTTGCAGTTCTAAGCTGGATTTCTGATTTTCAAAATGATCTTTATTCAGTTTTGATTGTTCTAAAAGACATAAGAAAAAGGAAAACCATTCCAAATAGGATTTTGCAGTTAGAAACATAATTGCATAGTTTTTCTAAAACAGAAAGACTGCAGCCACCCTGGCCAAGAGCCTTCAGAAGGCTTTGTTCTGGGGCTGGGAACACCTATTTAAAAAGGTTGTACAGATCTTTCAAGAGCAGGCTGGATTTAAGTAAAAGAAAATAAATTCAAAATTGGTATAAGCTCATCTGGGAAAACAAAGGGCAGGCAAAGGAAGCTTAAACACCCAGCACACTTTTGATATGACCTGGGAGTCCAGGTATTATGGTCCATCTGCAATAGCCTGTTCTCTATGTCACTGACAATTGAGACTTTCTGCCCAAAACACAGTGGCAACCTTCAGAGGACTTAAATTCCAAAAGCAGTCCTGCAGGACATTTATGAGCACTGGGGGCTGTTTTGTATCATGGGAAAACCCTAAAGGTCTCCTAGAGCCAGGTCTCTCAAGGTGAGAGCAGGTCCCCAAACCCTCTACCCTTGACCACATAGGCTGAGATAGTAATGCTCTTTCACAATCTCATCTATAGGTCCACAGCTGACAACAGACTTGGGGTGACCTGGGAGCCTGTTACCTTCCTCAACTTCCTTGAAAGGTCCCCAAGACCCCTTGGCCTTCTCCACCATCACAATCCTACCCAATAGAGCTCTTAGAGGGTGGTGGTGAGAAGGTTTACAACTATGGTGTGAGGAAGGTCACTTACTCTGGAATTGGTAAGAAGTGAAGTCCAAAGTCTGAATGAGGCGAGGCAGGACAGGGAAAGAAAAGAGGAAAAAAGAGGTGTGTTAAGAGAAGTGTAAAGAGTGGGAACTGAATGAGACAGACAACCAGGAGAGAGAGAGCCTGGAAAGGAAGCAGCAGGTTAGGCAGGCAGAGGAGAGGGAAAAGGAATGGAGAAGCTAGAATAGGCCAAGAAAAGAAAGACGAAGGTGGCACACAACGGGAGGCAATAAGAAGAGAAAATGGAGGAAGCCCAGGAAGGGGCTTCTGGAGGACAGGGGACTTCTCTAGACAGAGGACCTTTGTTTTCTGGGGTGCCAGCTCTGGCCCTGCATCTTCTTGGAGAACCCAAGTCCCAGCCTGTACTTCCTATGGACTCCAGTTAGGTGAGGACTCATCCCGTGAAAGGGGGACTGACACAGAGACAGAGGCAAACAAATCAGGTGAAGACCAGGAAACAGACCCACAGATACAAGAAAAAGACAGACCACAGGACAGGGCAGACTGGGCAGTGTTTGGAGGGGAGTGAGGAGAGAAAGACTGAATTGCAGAGGCCCCTGAGGCCTTTGTGACTCTGGTATGGAAAGGGCTGGCCTCCACAGATGCTCCTCAGGCCCTGATAAGGTCATGCTACCCACCACAGGCCCTCCCAATACCCCCAAAGACCATGGCTGAGCATAGGATTTTGGGGAAAGGGACTTTGCTGACTCAGCCACAGATTGAGCTCCAGGACCCCCACAAGATCATTAAAATTTTTCCTAGATGCACCAGAAAGAATGAAGGGGTACACAGACAGGCAAACAGGGGCACAGGGAAAGGGCAGGGAAGAAGTCTCCCTAATGGTATTGATACATGTGGAGAGTCAGGCAGTAGACATATACATGGTTAGACTAGACAGAGAGAGAGCTTTGCATATGTGTATACCCACTGCCCTCTCTCTGGAATCTGAGTCCCTCCCTCTCCCCTTCTGTGAACCCTCTGAAGCTTCATTTTAATGCCTTTGTCAGATGGTCAGGGAGACCCAAGAACCAGCTCCAGCTGTGCCAATGTGAACTTCTTGAGTCAGTCCTTTTGTCTCTCTGACCTCAATATCATATTCTGCAAAATGGGTGAAGCTGAAGGTTTAGGCCACCGTCAGGTAGGACCCTGGCTATGAGTGTTTTATAACTGGTAAAGATACCTAGGGGAACCGCTCAGGAAGAGAGCAGGAGGTTATCGTGCTGATGAAAATGATGAGCCTGGAATAGTGGGTGGGGACTCCTCCAAACTCAGAAGCCCATTTCCTGGAAGTCCCTGCTCCTCTCCAAAGAAGCTATCCGGCTCTGAAGCAGTGGTGGGGGGAAGCAGTGGTAGGGGGACGGAGGCAGGGAGCGGTAACAGGAAGAAGAAACTGACTGGGCCAGGAGGAAGGTGACGAAGTGGGACTTGATCTGAGCCTCTACTACCTCAGCCACCTTCCAGGATCTACTGTACCCCCCACTCCCCATTGCTAGCAAGTTGGGGCCCCAGAGCAGGCCTACATTGTGCAAGAAAACAGCTTTGGGCCTCAGAACCGAGAGTGCTTCCAGAGAAGCCAAGGTCTTGCACCTGCTCTGGAAGCTAGACTGGCTGGGGCCCAGCCCCCACTGTGCTGCCAGGGAGATTGAAAATGGGAGGGAGCACTTCCCACGGAGGGGGCGATTGAAGGCCGGACAAGGAGGCACAGACATTAGCGGTTGGCTAACCTGCACCTGAAAGAAGCCGCCTTCTCCACACTGATGCTCAGCCGAGAGACCACCAGGTCTGATGCTATCTCCCCAAGGGCTAGGGCACAACCTCTGGGCCACCGAGCGCTGGGCGGAAGGACACAGTGAGGGCCTGTGGATTTCCACCAGTGAGGAGAGAAGTGCAGGGGCTGGTGCTCCCCATCTGTCCCCACAGTTGCTCCTTGGCTGAGCCAAGGGCTTGCTCACCTCTCAGAGCATTGCCCTAACTGGTTTGTTTTGGGCTTACATTGCAAGATCAGGTCCTCCCCAGAGCCAGGCTGGAGTCCGAGGCAGAAAAGGCTGTGGAGGGCACTGGGGTCACCACAGACTGGAAACCGGTTGGGCGCAGGCCCCAAACCTTGAGGAATCGTTTGGGCTGGGACCAGAACAGGGGGCTCCTCTGCACAGAGCTCCCCACCGCTTTGGTGGATTACTTCAGACTCAGAAAATTGACACAAAGAGAAACTGACCTGCCCGCAGCCAGCCCTGGCTGCCTACACAAGCTTTCCCCTGCTTGCCAGGCCACTCAGCACTGCGTGGCAGACACGGACATGCTCGCCCCGGGAAGCTCACCTTCACTCCAGCCGGGTCTCTGCTGCCTTTGTTAAATAGGGGACCTGCGGCTAGGAAAGCTGGATCCCAGGCTGTTGGGATGGGGGGGAGCGGGGTGGGAGGACCAGGCATGGGGACGGCTCCTAGCCCGGGAGCAACTCCCTGACCTGAAGCCCGCAGAGACCCCGAGCGGCACCCGAGCCGAGGCTGCCGAAGCCTGTCACCTTCCTCCAGCCTGGCTCTGCAGCAAACAGAAAGGAAACGCGATTCGTTCCACTTGGAATTTCCTTGAAATCTCCGAATCTAATCCGGCGTTAACTCACCGTGAGAGGAGCGCTCATCTCACAGGAGGCTGTGGTAATGGGTGAATTGGCAGGATCCCTGCGGGCCAGGCAGCCAGGCCGGCCTTGCCCTCGCCCTAAATGACCCTTCCCGTCTCCTACACACGCTGCGTCTTTCAGAGGCGGGGGTGCCTGCGTGGTAACTAATTGGCTTCCTCTTTCTTTCTTTCTTTTTCGTTTCTTATCCTCTTTTTTTAAAGGGGAGAAGCCATGAGAAAAGGCGTCCTGCAGAGAAGGACCCAATGGGGTCTTTAAGGGTCTCTGTATGAACTGGCCGGCTCCTAAGCAGAAGCTGAACTCAGAAACCGCTACTTCCTTGATTTTTCAAAGCCCCCTCCTCAACTCCAGGACGCCTTTGGAGCCCTAGCCCCGGTGTCCTCGCTTAGCTCTCAACCTCTTCCTCCACACATACAGACACGGGTCAGGGCCCCACTATCCCTCCAAGCGCCAGTCTGGATCAGCCCCATGGCTGAAAAAGGCGCCATCGGAGTAGGGGTGTGGGGCGCTGTCTGAGACTCTGACTGGCCTCTCCCTACAACTTACTGCCCTCCAACTGGCCTGGCCCGGAGCCCTCTACGGGTCCAAGCCAGGGTTCTCCGAAAGAGCTGAAATGTCGCCGCCGGAGCCTTGAAAGGCTGCAGCTCGCTGCCCAAGCTACGCGTTGCCGGAGGCGGGATTCCCAGGTGCCTCAGCCCGGGCGGCCAAGTGCGTTGTTTCAGGTCCCCTGCCTGGGATCCCTGCACTTTGCAAAGTTAGCTGCGCGGCTGCAGAGGTCCGAGATCCTTCCGGCCTTAGTACCTGACCCACGGTCCGGCACCCCCAACCCGGTCCCGGCGGGAGAGTGAGAGAAGCGAGCTCGCCGCCTACTTACTATGCATGGATGCAAACGGGTCGTGCTTACAGTGTATTTCCATCGGGGCGCTCCAGACTGCAGGCCGGCCCACGCCGCCGCCTCCCGGCGCCAAGGGGCTGCCCAGGGCGGATAGGGAGCCTCGCCACCAGGCCAGGCACTGTGCGAGCTGGGCTCAGAAAACACTGCTGGAGCTTCGGGGTCTCTCTCAGAGCCTCCCTGCTGGAGACCGCCCGGAGCTGCGCGGAGAGGCGGGAAATGGTGCTAGCGCACCCGGGCTAGGAGCGGGTGCCCAACTCCGGCTGGCTTCCCTCCCTGGCTGGCTCAAGCAGCAGCTCCGGGCCCAGCCCGGGGTAGCTGCGGCCAAGGCGCCCGCGGCTTCGGGGGCATAGCGTAGGGGCCCGCCTCCGGGACAGCCAGCAGCCCCCGGCCCCAGGAAGGAGCAGCTTTGAGGAGGCCGCCGGAACAATCGGCCCTTGACTTCACTCAGGGGGCGGAGAGACCCGGGGGCTGCCAGGCTGGTTCCGCGGCCTCGATGCTTCTGAGGTCCCTCCTCGACCCCTCGGTCTCCGCCAGATCCTTTCTTTCTCTGCTTCTCCGAGTCTCTGGGGCTCGGACTTGCCCCCTCCGCCTCTCTCCAACTGGCTCTCCGACGTCTCGGACGAAGTTGCAAAGAACTTCCTCTCCGGCAGCGCGGGGTCCTGGCGGGTTTGGAGATGCTTCCGCCCCTGACGCTGGGGCCGCGACTCCGGAGTCCCCGGGAGCGTGCAGCCCTCCAACACTGAGACCCGCTGCCTTCAAAGTTCCCGCGGCCCCCGCTGCTCGCCCATCGCTGGGACCAGGAACGGGGACACCAGCGACGGACTCTTCCTCGCCGGGGTGTCTACCTCGTGCCAACCAACTCTTCGAGCCCCGCCGCCCTCCCTCGTGGGTCTGATTCCACTGTCTTTCCGCTGCCTCTTCCGGGACGGCCGCCGTGCCTGCCCCAGGCGTGGAGTGAGGAACAGAGGAGAGAGCAGAGGGTCCCAGCCACCAAGGCCGCCGGGGCTGCCGGGGCTGAGATGGAGCCGCAGTCGGCTCTGACTGCCTGCGTTGCCGCCGCCGCCGCCGTCGCTAGCCCTCCGCCTGCTCGGCGCGCACAGTGCGCCACCGCGCCGCCCCGGAGCCGCTTTCAGGACCCGCTGCGTGTGGACAGCGCCGCCCGGGGCTCAGCTCCCTCCGGGCGGGGGCGGGGCGGGGGCTAACCTGCCAATCACGCTCCACCAAGCCAATCAGAGTGGCGTCAGCCGGCCCTGGCCCGAAACACCGCCCCATTGGCTAAGCAGCCCACAGGCTCCGCCTGATTAGCGGACACCTGGGCAATGGGAGAGAATGGGGGGCGGGGCCCAGGCGGCGGCGCCACGTTCATTGACAAACGCGCTGGACTAAGGCCTAGTGGATCGCGGCTGTGGGGAGGGGAAAGGGGCCCACGCAGTGCCTGGAGAGTCCCGCTGCGGGTCCCACGCGGGCTGGACCTCCCCACAGCGATGCTGGGATCCTGGGACGCTCTCAAGGCTTGAGAGCAGTCGATTGAAGGGTGAGAATGGGGGAAGTCTCCAAAAAAACCAAAAAACAAAAAATGTATGTTGGAGGAAGACAAGGAGCGCAGTAGGGATCCTGTACCATCAGGCTCGTGATGGGATCGGATTGTGTGCATCGGAGTGTGTGCATATCTGCCAGTTCTGACCTCACTTTCCTCTTCTGTAAAATGGGCAGAGTGGGGTTAACTAGATTTTACTGAAGGCTCCTTCCACGGAAATATTTCCTAATTTTATTTCCTAATTTTATCAAGTACCTACTAAACCACCACTGGCTCCTCGTCGTCCACCCTCCTCCCTCACTCCACCTGCAGGGCCCTCATTGCTGCATTAACGAAAGGCAGAGACGTTGGGGGAAGGGGGAGAATATCTCACACTCCTTTAAAGTTAGTAACTGGGGCGCACCAGGGCGCACCTGGGTGGAGGGGCTAAGGCTTTGGGCCAGGTTGCCCAAGCAGAGTGGCTGGCCCTCTTTCCTGCCTCAGATCAGGAACTGCCAGAGGCTTTGGGAGCTGGTGTTGCGCTTCTGTCCACCGGAGAAATTCCGCACCCGGCTCAAGGCTTCTTGAGAACCGAATGAGCCAAGTCGCGTCCAGGGCTAATAAGGGTCCCTGAAGCGGGCGGGTGGACAGGCGCATTCTATCTGCAAGGGTCAAGCAAAGCGGCCAGGCGCGCTGCAATGCGGCAGCTTCCAGTTGATGGGAAACTGACCTTCCCTCTACAGGGGAAGTTCCTGTCCCTATGTAGACAAAATGGATGGATTTGTAGCAGAACTCTCTTGCTACACAAGGGATCTTTGACTAGCGAGTCCGCTTCTTTGTGGGTTTTAAGGCTCTGAGACAACAATCAAAGAAACTGGACCTTGAAAAGGAAGCGTGTGACAGTCATTCTTCACCCAAGAAGCTATAGTTCTGTGAGCCATCTGGGCCCTGGCTCAAGAACGACGCTGAGGATTCCCTTGCCCCAGCAACTCATGGGAGTGGTCCGAAGACTCAATTTCTATTTCATGAGTGATGATCCGCTAATATTAAACATAAATCCACAAAACAAGGGCTTTGAGATGCCTGCTCCAGGACTGGGCTTGTAAGGAAGAGTACAGGCTGATCATGAGAGGATTCCTGGGTTATCCTCTTGTTTTATTCTCTGCCTCGGTTTCCCTTCCTCTGCCTTCTCTCTACGCATGCTCTACTTCTCAAACTCCTACACTGGGGTCGACTCTTGGGCCCACCTTCTGTCCCTGTTCCACACCCAGCTGTCCCTGACCAGTAGACAAGTTTCCGGCGCTGACACCCGTCCCCACCCCCCACCAGGGCACAGCTGCGGAAAACGGCCCCAGGCGGGACTCTGGGGACCCAGGAGGCTGCAGTGCGCGCCGGGGTGGAGTGGCGGCGTTATCTCTTCTTTGTCTGGAACCCCGCCTGTCCGGATCTTCCCCTTTCACCCCCGGCCTTGGAGCAGGAAGATCGCAACAGCAGAGAGGGACTGGGATGGAATAGACTTCCTGCACTGGCTTCACCCGATGGCGCCCAGTGGGTCGGAAATAACCAGAATTCAGATCCTCGGCCCAGACTCAACATGGCGGCTTGCACACCTACTGGAGAGGCGGGAGTGCGGGACGCCCTGAGGGATGCAGCCAGTGACACCCCCACCCCCAGCCTCTCTTGCTGAGCTCAGGCCTACAAACCCAGGTTCTCTAGATTCTTAGAGCTAAAAGGGCCTCGAAGCTATGCTTTCTCCATTTCACGGGTGCAGAACCCGAGGCCCAGAGGCAGGATACGACTTGTCCAAAGTCACACAGCAAGTCTGGGGTAGAAGAAAGGCTGCGGGCTGGAAACCTTTCTCAAAAGCGCCTCTCCAGAGCCGCTCTCGGGATGGTGGGGGAGGGGCGATGCTGCCAAATCGAAGAACTCGGCTGGAATATGCCCGCACACGCAGGTTTTCCTTCGGATACCCGTGAGGCTTGCATAGAATCCCCGGGGCACGGCCCGAGCAGGAGTAGCGCCGATTCTCCCTTTCACACAGTAGGTGTTCGGCTTCGGGACAGTGTTCTGCTGCGTGGCACACACAGGACCCGTCTTACCTGTGCACCCAGAGCAGCCCCTTCCCGCAACTCTCGGCGTTCTTGGGGGAAGGAGTTTCCCTCTGGATAGGGGTGATTCATCACCGCCCGAGCGGGCGGCCTCTGGGAAGTTCCAACCCCAAAAGGCGCGACCGGACCTCATACCGTGACCACCTAGCCCAGCCTTACAGGTCACCAAACGACAGCCCAGAGAGGTTACGTGACTAGCTCGAGGCTGCACAGCAAGTCCATGGTGGAGCCGGGCTACTGCGCCTCAGTCCTGTCTCTGAACGCCCACGAGCCGCAGCCTGGGTCCAGGAGAGCGAGACTAGCAGCTCTCACCGCGGCTCTCAACGCAGTCGGGCCTCACTCTGATCTACAGTGATGCGCTTTCTTTCTCCCAGTAACAGGGCTTTGGGCCGGGCCCTGTGCTAGGCGCTGGGGGCAGGAGACCGCGAAAGGAAACTATCCAGGAAGAAACTCAATTTATGTGAACCGAATTGCCTTTGAAAGTTTTAGTACTGAAAGACAGCCCATTGAGAATAATGTGTGAGAAGCCAGAGACCTCGTTTCACTGGGGACACACCCCCTCCCGGCTTCCCTTTCCACGCCTCCCAGCGCACTGCATTACCGTGGCTTCAGGATGTGGGGGCTGCTACAGTGTTCTAGTAGCCTGACATCGACTCTCTCAACCCAAGTCCAGCCCATTTCCCTGTTCTTGCTTCTGACAAAGTGAGGCCCAATAGGGCTCAGACTGGTTGCTCAGTTCTGGAAAGATCAGGGATGCTGCCAGCATGGCTGTCTCAACCCACTGAGTTCTGTCTAAACTTCATTTTTAAAAAATAAAAAAAATTAAGTATCAGAGGGAAAGAAATTGACCTGAAATTATACAGCAAGTGGAGGCACAGCAGATTCCTGCATGATTCCTGCCCCTGGATCAGGAGTCTGCTCTACTTGACCTGTCCCTGTTTTCAGGAGTTCTTGAAGAGGATGGAGAAAAAATGAGAATTTAACCAGGTTTTTCAAGAATCATGTAAAATCACCTTAGTCGGGGTGTGTTATCATTACCAGCATGTCCTGCAGGCCAGGGGCGCTGGGACTACTCTCTCTCCCAAAGACTTGAGACAGGCAGCCCCTTCTAAAGCCTCTGCTTCCCCGTTTGTTTAATACAGAGAACAAATCCTGAGATGTGACTTCTTAGGCTCTGTGAGATGAAGCTTCATGGATGGGGGTTATTAATATCTATCACTCCATTCCAGGCTCATTCCAGAACTGTGAGACTGGATGTCAATGCCCAGTGGGAAAGTACTCAATCCATCCAGGTCTGCCCGGATCTAAGGACTCAAGGGTTCCCATGGCAAGGAGAGACTACTACTTGTCCAAGTAGTAGTTTTTCTCCAAGGGGGTCCATGGAGAGAGGGGGGAATCTGTCTCTTCTCCCAGCAGGAACAGGAGGTCTAAGGGCAGAGAGGTCACCTTCCATTCCTATTCCCTCCCTTACTCATGCTTTATGATCTCGAACAAGTCCCTTCCCCTCTCCGAACCTCTGAGTTTCCTTTCCCTACAGCAAGGAAGACATTAGAGGAGAAGGTCCTTAAGTGGCTCCCTGCTTAGTGTTGACCTGACCTTATTTTGGGCTTAGAGCCAGAAGGACACACTCCCTCCCCATTGGGCAGATAGGGAAACTGAGGTTGGGGTAAGAAATGGAATATGGTTCTGAAGGAAGAAAAAGGAAGTCTATTGGCCCATGAAATACCCAGAAGTTGGGAGAAGGAAGAAGCTCTCATAGGAACCAGACCTGGACAACCCTTTGAGCACCAGCTTGGACAGCTTCTCAGCTTCCCTCTCTTCTCCAGCCCTGACCCAGGCTGGAGTGGACAGATGGAAGTGCAGTCTCACTTGAACTGTCGCCCTTTTCCAGGCAGGCAGCTCTTCCCCAACCCATCAGTGAGGAGGGGGCGTGGCTCTCTAGATTTTAAGGCTTGGCCAGCCTAGGGCTCCCGTATCTCACCCCACCCCAAGCCCCACCCAGTCCAGCTATGCAGAGGAATAAAATGCTTTATTGATTAAATGATTATTCAGGCAATTGAACTAATCAAAGAGCCCATCGACCGCCATGAATTACATTCTTCTACACAGCTTGTCGGGAGAGCCAGCCCGAGGACTGCGCAGACCCTCTCCATGACACTCACACATCCCCGCCTCATTCCCCACACATACACAACACCCACTTCCAGGCTCAGGTCTCTCTGAAAGTCCATCTGCTGAGAAGCCCACTGCCAGGGAGAAGGGCCTTCTGAGAATTGAGGATGGAGAAGAGGAGTTTCCAGGTAACTTTTCCTGAGCCCTCATCCTGGGAGCACTCTTCTGCCTCAGATCTCTGCCCTCACTTCTCTCCAGCCACAATTTTGGAAACACAGTTATGCCCCAGAAGTTGTCCTGGGCTTGGGGTCTAAGTTTATCCTTTTTGCTCTTAGGCTTGTATTTGAGGCTGGAGGAGAGATGGGGGTTCTCAGAGGGCACAGAGATGGGGGAAGGGGGCTTCTTGCCAGGGCCAAGAGAGTGTTTGTGTGGGAGTTACACAGTGGCCTAGTGAGTGAAAGAGGCCCCCCATACCTGATTCATGCCTCAGGGCAGATGGAGGCCTACTGTCCCTGCTATCTCCTCTCAGACATAAACACATCCTGCTACCTACTTCTCAGGCCTGTGGGAGGCACATGGGGACCTAAGCCAGGGAGGCCTGTGCGCATACAGGCCCTAGAGCTGAATGCCCAGACTATGCACATGCATCCACCCACTGTGCTCTCCTCCACTGGTGCGGCACCCACAGGATAAAACCTGAGGACACAGTGTGTGTGTGTCTGTGTGTACACACAAATACACACGCCAGTGTCAGAGGCTTGTCTAGGTGAAAGTGAATGTAGGCTGGGGGTCCCTAGAAATGTCACAACTAACCCTACAGGTGTCCGCTGTCATCTGCAAGGTTGTGCCTGCCACAGGAGACCTGTTTGTACAAATGGTAGCCTGAACAGTGCTCACTGCACACCAAGAGGCTGCATGCCCTGAATTCACACCTTCATTCCTGGTCCTATCTCCCAATAGAATGGACACTGGGCCTTACAATGCACATGCTAAACACCACGGATCTCCATAGGCCCCAGACCCACGTCTAGGAGTTTGCCTAGAGACACAATGTGAACATTGGCGTGTATGCATCGGACAGCCGTTGACATCCAAAAATGGAAAGGTCAGTGTAGCCACTTCTTTCTCACATCCAAAAATCACTTGGGATATAACAGGTGAATGCAGACCCTTTAAATAGTGGATGTACACTCAGATATTTCCGAATTACATAAATAACACTCATAGTAGACACACATTTTGGATACCCAAAAGAATATACACAAGTACTAACTTATAAACACACACGAATACCCCACGAGTATAAAGATACACACACACACACACACACACACACACAGGCAAACAACTTTTGGACACAAACTCATATATTTTTACATCTTTTAAAAATACATATACTGTAATGAACACACTGAGTCCCTTATATAAACACACAGGCCCTAACTTGCAGACCCCCGGAAGGACGCCAGCGTGAACATTCAGAAACAGAGAAAAACACAGACAAACTCACAGATATTTGGACTGATGCAGAAGTGTGTGAACAGATAGGTGAAAAAACATAACAAACACGCCGCAGTTAGACAGTCTCTACGAAAATGCGGCGCGCCCCCTCCTCCTCCAGGGTCACCCTGCGTGGGGACCAAGGCCTGGCCGTGTCCCGGAGTTTGCACATCTGGAGCCCGTATCGCGGTCCTACCTGTCCTGCTGGTCCGAGGAGTCGGATAATTTTTCTCTAAATCCATTTTGATTTTTCAGGACTTGATGGAATGGACAGGGAAAAGTTTCCACTTTTTTGTGCCTTTTTTTTTCTTTTTTTTTTTTTTTTTTTTTTTTTTTTGGTGCCAGGGGCCGCTCACAGGTCGGAATAATTCAAGCCTTCCGCTCCCCCGCCGAGCTGGGGTAGCTGATCACTGAGCTGAAACTAAACGTTTTAGGTGGAAAAAAAGCGTCCGAAGGCACCGTGAAATGATTAAGGAACTAAAGAGCTTCTCGCCATGTGAGATCATGTCCTGTTCTCGCCAACATCACAAGATGTCCCCAGACACGCCGCGCCCCCAGCGCGCCGCCCCACACTGCCGGCCCGGAGCGAGGAAAGGGTAGGCGCTGCGCGGCCGGGCCTGCTCAGCGCGCCAGACGTGGCGGACCCGGCCCGGCCGGAGTAGAGCGGGAAGCCGGGAGAGCAGCAGTGCTGCTGCCGCGCCGCCCCAGACTTTTATAGGGGTTGGGGGGAGGGAAGGAAGGCTTCAGCCTGCGCCGGGCGCTAGCCAGCGCACCTACGGGAAGGGGCAGACCGAAGCGGAGCCCGGGAGCCCGGGTCTTCCAGCCGCACCTTCTATTAAGACATGCGCTTGGGGGTCGCGGCCCTCTGCGCTGTGCGCGGGGCCTGTGACATCTCCATGTGCAAACCCCGCTGCTTAGACGAGCGCAGGCCGGGTTTTTGTTTTTGAAGAAATTAACTGCTCGGCCAAGCAGGTGCTTTTGAAAGGGGTTGCAAAGGCTGGCAGTGTTGCCAGGCACCGAGGCGACGTTCCGGTTTACTCCGATTCACCCCTAGGGCGGCGCCCGACCCCAGGGTTCCCAGCCATCCAACCCCCACCCCAATTTGTTGGGGTCCTGACTATTGCTGGGCCCCTGACCCTAGGGCAGCGCCAGATCCCTAAAGCCCCCAGGTCCCATCCAGTCTTCTAGTCCCAGAACCCCTCCCCACATCAAGTTCCATTCTGGCCCAGAGCATGGAGGTTAAGCTGTGAAATACTGGAGATGAAATCCGGGCTTCCGCTTTGGAGCACCCGGGCAGAGCAGAACATCTCAGTAGTTTCTGGAGATTGGCGGGAGTTCCAGACACCTTACCCCGGCCCATAAGTGGAATCGCATTGCCCTCGAGCCCTGAGACGTTGTGGAGTCCCAGAGCCCCAGGACTTGATTCCAGAGAGGAAATCAGATCCACAGAGACCGAGCAGAGGTGTGGCATGTCCAGCCCTCTCTCTTCGGGCCAGACTCAAGCCTCCCCTCCCTGTTCCCCTCCCCAGCCTTGAGTTAGTTCAGCTGCTGGGCCTAGCCACTGAAAGCCTGTGGGGCCCTGCAGCGGGGTGGTCGCAGGGGAAAGGTTCTCCAGGGCGGGGGAGCGCTCCGTAGGAGGACTCCTGGCCCGCCGGACAATGGCAGTTTTGGAGAGTGAATCGTCCTCAGCAAGAGTGTTGTTTGTTTTTTGGAGGGGGTGGTCACGAGGCTGGGTCGCAACCTAGGGGGAAGAGCCTAGAGCTCGAGGAAAGGGGGGCCCCCGGCGGCAACTGGACATCACATATCCACTGAGCAGATTTCGCCACAATCGGAAATGTGGCTGTGGATTCCCGGGCGGCCCCCCCACCAAGTGGTCTGCGCAGTTCCCCAGCGCCGCCTCCTCCCTGCAGCCTGCGGGCCCGTGTCCCTACCCCGAGATTTGATTTTTGGCCATCTCCGAGTGCTCGACTCTTTCCCTCCGCAGCCCAGCCCCAGCCCAGGCTTCCCGCCCTCCCGCCTCGCCCGCGCCGGGAGGCAGCGCCTGGGAGGAGCGGCCTGTCCGCGCCTGGAGATCAAAAGCCCTCCCGGAATTGACATTTCACCCCGGGCTGGGGGCGGGGGGTGTTGGTGTTTTGTTGTTGTTGTTGTTTCCATTTAGAGGGCTTGTTTTGTTTTTGTTTGTTTTCTGTGAGTTTTCATTTTTCCATGGGATATTCTTTTGTTTCGGGTGTTTTGCGTGTTGTTTTTTCGTGGGATTGATTTTAGCGGGTTTTGCTCTGTAAGTCCTGGTCTTTGGGGTGAGTTTTGATTTTGTGTAATTTTGTACTTTGTCCTTGTAGGCTGTCTTTTTGTGTGTCGTTTGTAAGGCTTTTCCTTCTCCGCGGTGTTTAGATGTGTTTTGATTTGGTGTGAGTGGGTGTCGTCTGTGTGTGTGTTGCCTTAGGGAATTTCGTGTTGTGTGTGTTTTGTTTCCTTCGATTTGAATTTTATTTTTTTGAACTGTACGTTTTGGTGGGGGATCGGGTTATATTTTCATGTGTTGTCTTTAGTTTTTGTGTTTGTGAGATGCGCTGGTGAGAGTTTGCGTGTGTATTTTGGCTTTTGTGGGGCTTTGGGATTAGGGAGGGGACATCAGCCGCTACTCCGTTCCTGCCCGCACCCATGAAGGGCAGAGGATTAGGCCAAGCATCACGAATCGTAGGTTCGCCGTGCTCCGCCGCTTCGCGCTCTGGACGCTCGAGACCAGCGGGAAACAAATGTGGTTCCCGAGGGGGCGCCCGCTGGTCGTCAAAACCTCGCGGGCCCGGAGGCGCCGCTGCTGGGTCAGAATCGCAGAGCCCCCCTCGCGGGGTACCGAGGCCCAGCCGCCGTCCCCTTGCCCACCCTCTCCCCTGTGAGTCGGTCTCCCCTTGCGCCTGGCCAGCATGCTTCGGACCGTCCGGACTCCCGCAGCGTTGGCCCAAGGGGCGGCTCCCCTCGGCGGAGCAGGTGACGAACCACTTCGGAGGACACGGAATTGACACTGCGGCCCTAGAGATACGGGACAAGGGGCCAGAACGCGGGGAGTCTAGGCTCAGATCGGAGTCGGGATCCCGGGAAAATCCCCCATCTCCCTTGCCCGCAGCCCTAGAATCCCAGAAACCCAACTCCGCGCAGCTTTCGGTTTGGAGAGCCCGCCCTGGTTTGCAAGCACAGATACATGTGCCCACACCCGAACACACGCAGACACCGCCAGAGAGCGAGACAGCGAGCGGGCGCCTCCGTAGCAGCGGCCTGCGGGGCGGAACCGGAGCTGGCGCCGCCTCAAGGGGAAACCGAACTGTAGTGACCGGAAATGTCCCCAGGACAGAATAAGCCATTCCTTCTGTCCACGTTGCCAGGACTTCTCCAGCTCAACACACCTTGGTTTGTTTAATGTTACACGAGGGAGAAGATTTAGAGGCAGAGACACATGCTGGCTCAATCGGCGAGGAAATACGAGCAGAGTCTAAACAGAAAGAAATATGGAACGGGGGGAGACTAGACTGTGGGGAAGGCAAATTGGAGGCCCAGAAAAGGGGCTGGTGCGGAAGCTCCTCCAGGCCCCTGGGCGCTCTGGCATTCTGTGAGAAGGAGAAAGCAGAAGCCGAGAACAGAGAGTGACAGGAAAAGAAAAGAGACGCAGAAGGGGTTGGCCTAGGCACGCTGCGAGCTGCCCTCCAGCTAAGACGCTGCGGGCAAGGGAGGGGGAGGCCGACATCGCCAGGCGAGGGGCCAAGGTCGGGCTCTTTAACTCAGCCAGGAAACATCGTTGGGGGCTCCAGGGCTCGTGGAGCCCGAACTGGGGCTCATTTCCGGCCCGATGCCCCTCTTCCCCAGACCCCTAGCCCGGAATCCAGCAAAGGCTGGGCCATCGCCGTCCGCCACTGGGCCTCCCTCTGTGCGAGCCCTGGGAGAAGCCTCAGGGAACGACTCTGGCACTGGGGCTCGGCCCCGGAGCTAGCGCAGAGCGTGGGTGGGAGTCGACATCCAGGCAGGAGGCAAAGAAGAGGCCCCGCCCTAAAGCCGAGGGCCCAGTTCTTCGAAAGCCTGTGGCCGGAGCTGGACTCACAGGATTCGGGGTCCGTACAGCGCGCACGTGGTACCGCATCTTCGGCAGGCGGCGCCCCTAATGCCCAGCCCCGCCCTGCTTCGTTTGCCGGGCCTGAACTGTGTCAGCATTGAGGGTGGACGCCGAGTCGCGGCGAGTTGGTCCCTTGCGGTATAAACTTGGGGCTTCCCTAGGGGCGGTGCCGGGATGGATGGGGGCGCCTCTCCACCTGCAACTCCCCCAGCGCAGAGCGCAAAAAGTGCACATCGCGGGCCAGCCGTCGCCTCGGGGTTTCAGGCGGCGCCCGGGGCAAAAAGGAGCTGAGGATTGGTTTGGGTCAAAACACCCATTTCAGTTGGCAGTGGGGTCCTCTGCGCCTACAGGGCTTCGAGCTCCGGGTGCGGGCTCACTGGGGCACCATGTGCCAGCGACTCGCCACCCGGAAATACTTGGGTTGCGCTAGAATACGCAATGGGTCTGTGTTCGGGTAACCTGGTGCTCATGGTGGGTTATTACTATTGTTGTTTTACTTTACTGCTTTTCTTGCTTTCATTAGAAATGTTACTGAGAGAAGCCTCAAAGAGCGCAGACCTGGGGTCGTTTGGATGGGTTCATTTCAACTCAAATCCACTAATTCAATTCAGTTCCACGACTAGTTTCCAGCGCACAGGTACACATGGTAGACGTCAAGTGTATGCCGTATGCATATGCACAGAGACGCTATTTGAAGGCAACTCTTGGAGAATTTTGAGATAAAATTCACTCTCCTGGAGTTACATTCGCAATATATGAATATGGAAAACAGGCAATCAGTTGTATTTAAAATTTGCCAACACGTCCCAGCAATCCACTCTCACCTAAGAATCCAAAATGGGGCATTGAAAAGATTTACTGGCATTCTGGTTGTTTAATATTGAAAACAAGCGTAAATCAGTTCATTTCTCTTTATATTTCTTTTCAAATTTAACAATACCATAATAAGTGTAAGTAATAAAACCATATTTTGCTAAAGAAAGTTTGCACATAGGATGCTTTATTTCTATCAGTATTTATACGATGTTCTGTTGGCTCTCCTCACCCCCTTTTCTTCTAGTTCACCGTGTAATGTGAGCTTTAAATATTCATGCGTCGGCCCAGACTTACATTTATTTAATGTGTTTTAAACTAATAACATTTTAATGTGATATAATTTGATTCCATGAAGTACTGGAACATAAAAAAGCCTACTGCACAAGCGATTTTGAGTGAGGGTGAGTGCACAAGCTAAACGATTCTTTTAGTTTTGGACGCAGATCAGAGTGTTAAACGGAAGTGAAGCGCGCCTTTAAGTAAGCCCTTTAATATTCTCGTTTCTTCATTCTCCATTTTTCTGTAATAACTTCAGAGCCGTGGCAGAGGATCACCCCAGGATTGGGGTGCTTTCCCTGGAGCCTGCCTTGTGAACCTGCAAATCGCCAAGTGAATACCTCAGCCTCAGGGCAGGTTGTGGGCTGATTTTTATTTTTTCTTTTGGGAGGGAAGTCTTTTGGGAAGGTCAGGGGGCTACAGGATATGAAGTCTGGATTTGAGAACGTGCCGGAAATAAAACTGTGCTCTAAAAATCTTTCAGGTTTGCTGCTGATTAACTATCTTTAGCAACCCAGCCCAGAGTAAGATGGAAAAGATGAGCTACACTTGGGCCAAAGTGCCTTTGAGATGAGCCCTGAAGCCAGTCTCAGTGTTTAGCCATCACCAGAGACACTTCCCAAAGCCTTAACTTTTCCTTCACTTTGTACTGGAGGTGGGGGCCTTCTGGCACTGAATGCAAATCTACCAAAAAAAAAAAAATCCTCTACACAAAGAAAAATTAAAGATATCCCCTAATTTATTTTCGGTCAGATGAAAACCATCTGAAATATCTAATATGAGGAGCTTATGGACATAGAATCAGAAAGTCATTATCCCCCTAAATCATGAAAATATTTCTAATGGAAAATCATGACATTGTATCCTCGTTATAAACACATAGTGTGGACCTATCACATAAGGAAACTCCGTCAATCTACTATTACCTAAGAATCCAAAATGATACATTGGAAAGATTTGCAGTCTGAGGACAAAATATTCATACGAAATACGTACCAAAATAATCATGCTAAATTGTTCATACTGAAATGCTGCTATCCTTTCAACTAAAACAATCTTTAGAACAAGTATTGGCAATTTTCTGGACAGATCTTTATAAATCTTCCCAGCAAAACAATTAAGAAATATGTACTCAGATTTTATTTTTACAGGATATATGTGTGTATATGTATATATATTTTATGTATGTATATATTTACATATACATGCGCGTGTGTGTGTAAAGTTCTCTACCATAGGCAGGCTGAGAGTTCAAAGATGGGCTTTTCCTTGTTAGGTACAAATTCTTATAAACAAAGTATGAGATGGAAACAGTTTAGTGAATTTTTTCCTAATTTGGTACAGCAGTTGGTGTCTCATTTCTCATGCAATTTGCACGTAGACTCATGTACCCCATGAAGTGACAAAAGAGAATCAGGGATGAAAACCTGCCAGTGTCTGCAGGCGGTGCCTCAAAGCGCTCTTTTGGACACACGTTCTTGGTGGTGGGGAGTTTGCTGCCTCTAAACCAGGCCTGACCTTTTGTCTTTTGACCTCTGATGCATGAAATTAGGTAGCAAAAGAAAATGAAGAAAAGGATACAAAAACATGGAAAAACAGCCCTCCTTGACAATAGTCATTGTATCAGATCATAGCAGAGCTGCCCTACATAGCCCAAAGTGCTTGTTTATAAGGCTGCGGGTCTTCCTGGCCACTGGGTTCCTGTTCTTCTTTGTGGGCAATCTGCATTTGTTGGGGGAGGGACTACGCACTCTTTTTAATTAAGCTCAGAGCTGGGTTTTGTCTTGGCTCCTTTCACCAAAGCCCGTTTAGCGAGCGTTTGGCCCCTCCATTTCCTCTGAGGTCTTCTGTGTAGGCTGGGTGCCTGGGGGTACCACCTGGGGCAGCTTCCAAGACCCAAAGGAAAACTCTGCCCCTTCTGGCCACCCAGGCTGAAGCTGAATCCCAGCTGGCGTGGAGGGGAGAGGGTGGCAAGGGGTGGGGTCATGCTCCTTGGTCCTGAAGGAACACACACCCCAAGTGAATAGACTTCCACTCTTTCTCCAAACCCCGTCAGAAAGCCTGAGTCACTGGTGTTCCCTGCCCCCTCGGCCTAAGGAGTCAGCTCAGTACCCTCCCCTGTCATGAGAGCCAGGGAGGAGGGCAAGAACATTTGCAGAGATGCCTTCAGCAAGCCTCACACAACATCCTTTGATCCTCGAAGCCACCCTGGAAAGGGGTGCACAGCCCTGGGTTAGGAGCCACAGTACAATGGGCACCAGGCCCCGTCCAGAAGGGAAACAGGCCTCGACTTAGATGGTAAGAGAGTGAAGATGTGTGCAAGCAAGAGAGATCTGGGAGAACTGTGCCAGGTACTGAAGCCAGACTCTGGAAAGGGGGAGGCTGGAGGGGACATCTCTAGAGGGTGACCTGAGATGAGTGTTGAAGGGTAAGTAGGACTTTGCTAGATAAATAAGGAGCAGATGGCATAACTAAGATCTGCACTTTGCAGAAGAGGCTACTGGATATCAACATACAAGCAAAATACTGAAAAAAGAGCTGCCCAAGGGTTTGGGAACAATGTAGGAATGGCAAATGCTTCTGAGGGAAGGAATTCACAATGGTTTGAGGAACGGGACAAAGGAAGGAAGATGGCTAGAGTGGGCAGGCCCCTGCTGTACCTCATGAAGATGGCCAGAGCAGCAGCTAAGACATATTCTCTCCTTACCATATGGAGTAAATGGACCCACAGGCCAAAGGGAAGAAATAAGAGAAAGGCCCTAGGACCAAAGGAGAGAAACATAGCAAAGCTTACTCTCCATCAGTTTTTTGGATTTTTTTTTTTTAACCTTCTCCCCTGGGAAGTTTGCACAAAGTTCCCTCAACAACCTCAGTCTGGAAAAGCAAACCAACCACCCTCAGCCTGGAATGCTCCTCATGAACTTTACCAAATCCTCTCAGGCTGTAAAGACCCCCCCCAGAGCCGCAGCTGGTGGCCACCATTCTCTGCTCAGGCCACGTAGCCCTGAGCTCACCCTTCCTGTTACCTTATGGGTTGGAGATGAAGTGTCTGTGTCCAGTTCTCACCACTCCTCCTAGTCTCCTGGCTCCCATGGGCAGGACTTCTCCTTTGGGCACCAGCTCTTCTGGAAGTAAGTCATTCTGTTCCCTTATAACAGTAGCTTCTACACTTCAGTGTGAGAAGAATCACATGCAGATCCCTGGGCCCCAGCCCCAGAGAGCTTGGTTTAGTGCTATGAGACCGAGCTTGGAACCTGAACGTCTAGTAACTTCCCCAGGTGAGTAGGGTGCAGGAAGTACCTGGACCATCCATTGAGAAACACTGGCTTAAAAGCTTTTTCAGAGCAAGCACTAAGCCACTGTGATTCACTGACCCCTGCCCCACTCACCAGGTCTACACCTGTCTAAACACCCTGAACGAGAATTTGTGAGGCTGGCAACATCCAGATCCCCAAAGTATCAGCAGCCATATTGACAAACCATTCCTGATTTGCCCCAAAAGGACCAAAAAAAGTCTGACTTTGGTAATGGATGTGCCCCCTTCCTCTCATTTTAATTCAATTCTATTCAGCAAAGACAGCCTTGTGCTTAGTCCTGGAGGGAGATGAGAGCCTCCTGCCTCAAGTTGCTCGAAGCCACACTGAAGAAATAAGCCTTTAATCCACAGAAGAACTTGATCCGGCTTTTTTTTTTTTTTTTTTTTTTTTTTGAGACTATCTTGTTCTGTCCCCCAGGCTGGAGTGCAGTGGCACGATCTCAGCTCACTGAAACCTCTGACTCCCAGGTTCAAGTGATTCTTGTACCTCAGCCTCCCAAGCAGCTGGGATTTCAGGCACACACCACCACACTTGGCTAATTTTTGTATTTTTAGTAGAGACAGGGTTTCACCATGTTGGCCAAGCTGGTCTCCAACTCCTGGCCTCAAGTGATCCGCCCACCTTGGCCTCCCAAAGTGCTGGGATTATAGGCATGACCCACTGCACCTGGCCCAGGCTTTTAATTATATACAATTAGGAAAACAAAAGTGGAGTCCTCCCTTCCTGCTAAGGAAATCTATGAAGATTTCTTAAAGGAGGCAGCATTTGATCTGGAAGAGTGAGTTGGAAAAGAAAGGGAAAAGGATGCTACAGACCAACAGTTCAATATGATGAGCAATGGCTCGGAGGGAGAAAATGCTTGGCTTATTTAAGAACTGGCAAGGCAGGAGAATAGAGAGAATTCCCTGGTGATGAAATTGAGACCAGTTGAGGAAACAAGAGTCCTCAAGGACTGCATTAATCTTATTTTTTTTTTGAGACAAGGTCTCACTCTGTCACCCAGGCTGGAGTGCAGTGGTCCCACCATGGCTTACTGCAGCCTTGATCTCCCATGCTCAAGTGATTGTCCTGCCTCAGTTTCCTGAATACCTGGGACTACTGGCATGAGCCACCATGCCCTGCTAATGTTTGTATTTTTTGTAGAGACAGGGTTTCACCAGGTTGTCCAAGCTGGTCTCGAACTCCTGGGCTTAAGCCATCCACCTGCCTTGGCTTCCCAAAGTGCTGGGATTACAAGCATGAGCCACCACACCCAGCCTAGAGCAATCTTAAGGTCTGATCCACTTACACACCCCAGGGTTTGCTACTCCCAGGTAACACTCACGGGAACATCCGAACTTCCTTTGGAGATTTGCAAGACTCTCTTGCTGGCCTCCCTGGCTGAGCAGGAGTCACTATGCCTGCTTTTGTGGGCTTTTCTGTCTGCACTCTGTCTAGGGTTATTCCACTAGTGAGCATATCAGACTCCCCCTGGGTGCCACACTTATGTGAATGCCTTTGTCACACTGTCATGGCTCCTTGTCCTCTTCCCTTCCTCTCATGAAAGCAGTGAGACAGTGTCTGATCCCTCTTTGCAACCCCAAAAACAGCACAGGAGTTGCACATAAAAATGCTCATTTGAGAGTCTGATGAATGAATAAATGTGGTGAAGGTAAAATCCTCCCTGAACTGGTCCTCTGCAGCCCATGACTCTAGCTCTCACTTCACCACATCCTAGAAGCATGACGTCACCTCTGTGCCCCTCAGTTTGCTAACCTATAAAATGGGCAGAATAAGTGCCACCCACTCAACCTATTTCTCATGGCAATTGTGAGGACCAAATGATATAACAGCTGGGATTTGCTTCACAAAGTATTGTTAGGATGGGTTTGGAATTCCCCAATGCTGCTTACAGAAAATCTTTTTTTTTTTTTTTTTTTTTTTTTTTTTTTTTGAGACGGAGTCTTGCTCTGTCACCCAGGCTGGAGTGCAATGCCATGATCTCGACTCGCTGCAACCTCTGCCTCCCAGGTTCAAGCGATTCTCCTGCCTCAGCCTCCAGAGTAGCTGGGATTACAGGCGCCTGCCACCATGCCTGGCTAATTTTTGTATTTTTAGTAGAGATGGGGTTTTACCTTGCTGGCCAGGCTAGTCTAAAACCCCTGACCTTGCGATCCACCCGCCTCGGCCTCCCAAAGTGCTGGGACTACACGTGTGAGCCACCGTGCCCGGCAGAAAACCTTTTTTGGTAACCTAAATGCATTTCTCCTTTGGTAGAGGAGCCAATGGCCCAGCATTGGACAGGAGGTATGAATGTAGGTATGTATAGGAAGAGGCCGACAGTACTCATGGGTTGAAAAATTGTGTTTGTTTTTAAAGTATCCTTTTCCAGCGCTGAAAGAGAGAAAGCAAAGAACAAAAAATTCACCTTAAGCACATCTGAGAGCCATAAGGTTAACAGCTGTCATGGTACTGCTGCTAAAATTCTGAAAAGACAATGTCAGATCTAGACTTGCTGGGATAAAACACAGCTGGCCACAGCTGAAAGGCAGAAAAATACCCTCAGATCCTAAAGGAAAAATGAAGAGACAAAATTGCAGTCGATAATGCATTAATGAGGTGAACTCTAGTGTATATACACACACACATACACGCACACAGACACACACCCTATAAATTGCAGAAAGAATTTCACTCTGTAGAAAAGAAGGCTCAGAAAGATAAGTCCTAAGTGTTCAGTCTGATTCTCCACCAACCCCCACCCTCAGGAGCCTTCCAGTGGGCATTCTTCTGAGAGAGAAACTAGAATAGGCCAGAGCATTTAAGATGGTGCAACCAGTAGTTTATTAATTAATGTACAGGCAGGGCGCAATGGCTCACTCCTGTAATCCCAGCAGTTGGGAGGCTAAGGTGGGTGGATCGCTTGAGTTCGAGATCAGCCTGGATAACATGGCAAAACCCTGTCTCTAGAAAAAATTACAAAAATTAGCCAGGGGTGGTGATGCATGCCTGTAGCCCCAGCTACTCAGGTGGCTAAGATGGCAGGATCACTTGAGCCTGGGAGGTTGAGGCTGCAGTGAGCCGTGATGGCACCACTGCACTCCAGCCTCAGTGACAGAGTGAGACACTGTCTCAAAAAAAAAATTAATGTACAAAGTGCCCCAACTTACAATGGGGTTGCATCCTGATAAACCCACCGTAAACTGAAGATACCTTAAGTCACAAATGTTGTTAATACACCTACCGAACACCATAGCTTAGCCTAGCCTACCTTAAACATACTCAGCATACTTACATTAGCCTACAGTAGGGCAAAATCATCTGGCCACACAACACATTACAGAGTGTCAATAGTTTAGCCCTGTGATCATGGGGCTGACTGAGATCTGAGGCTCCCTGCTGCTGCCCAGCATTGAGAGAGTGTCTTACTGCATATTCTGGTATGATACCCAGGGAAAAGAGCACAGTTCAGAATTTAGTATGATTTCCACTCAACACATGCTGCTTTCACACCATTGTAAAGTGGAAAAGTCCTAAGTAAAACCATCATAAGTTTGGGATCATCTATATTGCTAATTAAGTGATAATTAATTGGTAAATAGTTCATTAGTAGCATAGGGACTTTGGGTAGTGGGCCTTATTTAATTGTATGAACTGTATCCAGGCTGGCCTCTCTATAGCATCCCAGTGAACAGTGGTCCATTCTAAGGTTGAATACCTCCAGGGACAGTGAGCTTATGAACCCCTTGCCTTCTAGGCAGTCCTTTCCCTCACTGAGCACAAATTAGCTTCCATAAAGCTTCTTGCCACTGGTCTAAGTTCTGCTCTTTGGGAGTCATCACCCTCAGGAAAGAACAAACAAGGTGGCACAGCAAAGGATCCTGTGAAAAAAATCTGCTCTGAAATTCCAGAGGAAGAGATCTGCTCAGACAGATCTTTTCACGGGAACCCTCACTGTGCCACTTTGAAGGGCATTAAAACATCTCCTCTATGTCTTTGGATGTCTTTGGAATAACCCCATTTGGAAGGGATGGTGGTTTTGGAATGTTAACTAGAGGAAGCACATTCAGGAGTAAAGCAAGGGCAGGATTATGGAGCTGAGAGCCTAATCTTATAGAAAACTTCTGCAACCCCATTCCCCTGGCTGTGTCCCATTGAGATACACATTCGCATACAATCTATTTTTAAAAGGACATTCGCTGCCCGGCACGGTGGCTCATGCCTGAAATCCCAGCACTTTGGGAGGCTGAGGTGGGCAGATCATTTGAGGTCAGGAGTTTGAGACCAGCTTGGCCAACATGGTGAAATCCCATCTCTACTAAAAATACAAAAATTAGCCAGGCGTGGTGGCCTGTGCCTGTGATCCCAGCTACCTGGGAGGCTGAGGCAGGAGAACAGCTTGAATCCGGGAGGCAGAGGTTGCGGTGAACCGAGATCGCACCACTGCACTCCAGGTTGGGCAACAGAGTGAGACTCTGTCTCAGAAAATAAAAGGACATTGCCCTTTCTTCCTCGGTGCTGCCTGTGGAGGTGGCAGCAACCTCCTACTCACATCATGGCTGCCCTCAGACCCCTCATGAAGCCCAAGATTTTCAAAAAGAGGAACAAGACATTCATCCGGCAGCAGTCAGACTGATATGTCAAAATTAAGTGTAACTGGCAGACACCTAGAGGTATTGACAACAGGATTCAGAGAAGGTTCAAGAGCCAGCTCTTGATGTCCAACATTGGTTATGGGAGCAACAAAAAGACAAAGCACATGCTGCCCAGTAGCTTACAGAAGTTCCTGGTCCACAACGTCAAGGAGCTGGAAGTGCTGCTGAGGTGCAACAAATCTTACTGTGCTGAGATCGCTTACAATGTTTCCTCCAAGAACCACAAAGCAATTGTGGAAAGAGCAGCCCAGCTGGCCATCAGACTCACCAGTCACAAAGCAAGGCTATGCAGCAAAGAAAATGAATAGACAGCCCATGTGCCCATTTTATTTCTGTTTAAATAAAAACTGCAAAAGGAAAAGAAAAAGAAAAGAAAAGGACATTGCTACAAGAACCACTGTGAAATCATAGGCCCATATGCTAAAACGGCTGTGGGAGACAGCTGAGTCCATCCCTTCTCCCATTTTGCAGATGGAGACACTAAGGCCCAGAGAAGGAAATAGAATTGCCAAAGGTTCTACAGTGAGTTCATGGGAGGGGCAAGACTAATGAGAAAAGGGACATCTCTTGGACATCACTGGGCACTGTGCTTTGCATACATGATCATATTCCATCCTCAAAACAAACCTGTGCAGCAGGTTTTGTTAGTACTCCGGTTTCACAGATGAAGCCTCAAATCTGAGGCTCAGACCTGGGAAGTTGCCCAGGATCACACAGTTAGGAGATGGCAGAGCTGGAATTTGAAAGCCAGTCTGATTTTCCACACAAATCGTTTGACCACTAACACTTTCGGGTTGCCTAAAACCCAGGCCCCGTCTCCCCACTCCCCTAAGTCCACTCTATCCCTGTAGTCCTCCATTATGTTACATTGACTCCTAAAGAAAAAAGATCCAGATGGTCACAGCTTTGGAGGATTTGCAAAGCACTTCTGTGCCTTCCTGCACATCATCTCAGGAGATCCTGATACCAGACCGAGCTTGTAGCCTGGCCAGAAATAGCATGCTCATTTCACAAAGCAAGAACTGTTGGGTTTCCTTCAATCTAATGATTTCACCACCATCTGTGCGATAGCTGAGCAAAGTCAACAGGTTGATAAACTCCTGTGGTAGGAATGGGGACCCTTGACCTGCCAATAGGGAAGAACAGACATACAGAACTTGGCCAGGGAAACTTTTAATCCAGAAGAAAAAAGTGTATTTTCTCTCCTTATATGTTATAAATAGAATAATGAGATAATCCTGGATTTTAAAAACTCAACTCTGGTGTTTATATTTTAATTTATTCTCAGAAGGGTAGGAGGGTCTAGAGGAAATGCAAAATGTGAGTCTTATTTTATGATTTGCTATGGTAAGCCACATTTAATCCCGTTCTTCAGTGAAAGGATTTACGAAGGATACAACACAATGTACCTGTCTGTTGCCTTCATTGTATTTTTTCCCAGATTTTTATTTAGTTTGCAATGTTACAACAATAAGGGAAATTAAAAGGAAAGAAAATTATCCATAATCCTACCACCCTAACAAATGAACTGTTCAGTGTTCCTCTTACTTCAGGCAAAATTTACATAGTTGATTTATGAGTGTAGTTACAGCCTCGCATTCATTCGGCTTTCACACCTGACAGTTTATCATTATAATGCCACAGGTTTTCATGATTATCATTTAAAAATAAATGTTTTAATAATTATTTTAATGGCTGCTTAATACTCTTTTAAGTGGATATATCATTCCCTAGTATTATATATTTAGAAGGACTCCCATTTTTCACTATCACAGATAATCCCAAAGTGCATGTCTTCATACATATCACATTCTCCTATTTTTGCCATTTCTTTAAAATCCCCGGATCTAGATTTTGCTGGGTCAAAGGGCCTGAATGCTTGCACGGCTCTTGATATATATGGGCAAATCGCTTTGCCAAAGGATTTTATACATTTACTTTGCCTCTAGTAATGGATGAGGAGGATAGTCTCATACCATGCTCTTGCCACAACCAAGGGAAATCTACCAACAAATGAAATGTAACTTGATAAGCAATGTTTTTACTTCATTTTGACAAATGGCTTGACAAGCCTGTCGCAGGATCTCTATTCTCTTATCTCTGTTGCTGTCATAAATTAAGTGCCTATACCAAGAATTTGGGAAAGCGCCAAAGCAATTATTATACCCATTTTATAGCTGAGGAAACTGAGTCTCAAACCAGGGTTTTCCCCAATAGGCTGGACAGTGAGTAAGTGGAAGTGCTGAGACTTTGGTAATATCATCAACTGTCGTGAACCAAAGATGATGCATTGGTTTCTTATAACCTCCTGGAATGTTTTCTGGGGTTTATTTTGTTTTTTAATCCCCCAGGTTTTTGGAGAAGCTGGGAAACGTGTTTACATCAGGTATGTTTGTAACTTCTCTTTAACAAGTATCATCATCCTCTGCCAGCCTCCAATTGCTACTTAAAGCACGTGCTTAGTTTGGAGGAGACTTTTGATATATTTTTTTTGCTGGAGAATCTCTCACCTTCAAAGCTGGAAGGAATGTCAGAGAGAATCTCATACCACTGGCTTATTTTGGAGATGGAGAAACTGAGGCCCAAAGAAGGGAAAGGACTTGCCCAGTTTCATTCACAGAGCTGGCAGCAGAGTTAGGATCTATGCCCTGGTTTAAAATGTTGCCTAGAGCACATCAGTGGGTCACTTGTGTTTTGTGAGATATTCATAAGTATAGTTTCTGTTTTCTCACTCCTGTTGCCCAGGTAAGAGTGCAGTGGCACAATCACGTCTCATTGCAGCCTCAACCTCCTGGGCTCAAGTGATGCTCCTGCCTCTTTTTTTTTTTTTTTTTTTTTTTTTAATTTTCTGTAGAAATGAGGTTTCACTATGTTATCCAGGCTGGTCTCAAACTCCTAGGCTCAAGTGATCCTCTTGCCTCAGCCTGCCAAAGTGTTGGGATTTCAGGCGTGAGCCACTGCATCTGGCCCATAAGTGAGTATTTTTTAAAAGCAGTGAGAACTATCTGAGAAACACTAGATACCTTATGTTTCTTTTGGAATTCCCTGGTGAAACAAGTCTCGGTAACACTAAGCTAATGTGAAACAGATTTATTTATTAAAGGACTTTCCAAAGTGTAATACCCCAAATGACATTTGTTTATTTTTATTTTGTTTTGGTGGGGTTTTTGTGTGTGTGTGTGTTTTGGTCACTGTTGTTTTATGTTGAGCAAATATTTTCTTTTTACTAGATTTTACTTTTAAATTATAATTTGCTCTTCTTTTTGGACTAGGGAGTACATACATATGGCTCAAATTTAAAAGGTACAGAGAGAACCTGAGGGAAAGTCTCTTCCTACCTCTGCCCCTCAACCACCCGGAAGTCTCTTCCTACCTCTGCCCCTCAACCACCCGGTATACCTCCCTGGTAACCTTGTAATCAGTGTTACCGTATTCTTGCAGAGTTATGTTTCCGCTTAATGATATATCTTGGTGATTGTTCCACACTGGTACTTTAAGGGCTTCCTTGTTCTTCTTCGTATATTTTTCCTGCAGCGGGGTATTCTGATCGATACGCATTTAAATCTCCAATTGGAAGATAGTCTCTACCCTTGGGGAGCATACAGTTTCCTGCAAAAATGAGGTGTGTTCATTATGGCTGCTGAAAGAAGGGAGCAGGTGCACTGGGAAGAGATAGGAAGTATGGTAGGCAAGCAGAGGAAAGAGGTCACTCTGAGTTGAGTTTGGATATTGGATGGGAGCTGGGACCTGAGAAACTGCCTGTTGCAGGTGAGTCTCCGGCTGATGGACAGTGACAAAGTGTCTTTTGTTTTAAAACAAAGAAGGTCAACATGTGTATAGATCTGGCCAACATGAACATTTAGCTGCTGAGCCCAAAAGCTTGATTTTTATTAGCTATATTTGTTGCCCATATATTGGAACAGATCTTAAAGTGGAAGTCAGATGTGTATTATCAGATACCATTTGGAGTAATGAGTGTATTTTCCTAATCTTTCCAACACCAACCTAAAAACTCATCTCAAAAGCATGCATACTAATTAATTTGTTTTCCATATAGTAATAAGATTAACAACCTCGCATTTACACGGGGTACTGAGTCATGCTCAAATAAAACAAGTTCTAATGAGAAAAATTGAATGTGGCAGCAAATCATGTCCCACCCGGCAATCCAGGTTTATGTGTGTTTGTCTGTCTTTGCTACACGTATTTTTGTCAGGATCTCACTGTAAACAAGATGATTTCTCTCATGTTGGGTTAGTCTAGGTAAATTTGTTTAATGAACAACAAAGTCATTGTAAACATTGCACAAATCTGAGTGCCTGGCAGCATGGCTAGGAATCTTTTAAGCAGCTTCAAAAAATGAAACGTGTACACCAAAAAAAAACAATATTGAGAGAAAACACTATTAATATGTCAAGGCTCTTAGACATGCAGCCTGGCTCAATTCTATTCTGAACAATAGAAGAATTTGTGATGGGATGACATGTGATCTTGCACAGTCACTCTACCTCGCCGAATCTGGGCCTCAGTTTCTTCCTCTGTTAACTGGATAGCATCCACCTGCTAATCATCAGTATCAGCTGCAAGTGGAGGGTAGGAAGTGGGAGCTTTAAAATATACACATGGCCAAACTGCCCTACTAAATTCCAGTTCTATCAGACCCCAAAACCCTAATCTCTGGGGGCTGGGGTCCCAGGATCTACAATTTTAAAAACAAATTTTTCATGTGATTTGATGATCAGGCAGGTTTGGGACCCTCTGAACTAGACAGATTACCACTAAGATCTTTTCCAGATTTCATGACCATCAAAACTGATGATTCTAAAAACTCATCTTGGAAAATACTGTTGTGTGTCTGGGCAGAAGAAGAACACTGGTAAGGGAGGCAGGATTCTGGATTTGAGTCCTAGGGCTCCCCTCAAGCTATCCAGGGGACACTGGAAAAGCCATGCCAGGCGCAGTGGCTCACGCCTGTAATCCTAGAACTTTGGGAGGCTGAGGCGGGTGGATCACCTGAGGTCAGGAGTTCAAGAGCAGCCTGGCCAACATAGTGAAACCCCATCTATACAACAATACAAAAATTAGTCGGGCATAATGACAGGTGCCTATAATCCCAGGTACTCCGGAGGCTGAGATGGGAGAATCACTCGAACCCGGGAGATGGTGGTTGCAGTGAGCCGAGATCACACCACTGCACTCTAGCCTGGGCAGCTGAGCAAGACTCCCATCTCAAAAAAAAAAAAAAAAAAGTCACTTCACTCTGGACCTTAGTCTCTTTATCCACAAAGTAAAGGCACTGGAGCAGGCAGTCTCAGGGCCTTCCTCTCACATTCTGCAGCCTAATTCTGATTCCTTTGGGATTCATTGCACATAAATCCTTTGGTGACTGAATACAGAGACTGGTCAGGGAGGCTGGTTGGGTTCATCTGCGGTAGCGTACCCATTCTTCCTGAGGCCTAGGGAATCTCTTCTGCCTTCTACCCTTGGTGGGTCCCACCCCTCCAGCTCTTTCAGAGGGGCTGAGGGTGTGTTCTGGCCCAGAGCCAGGCACCTCCTCAACCCCTACTCCTTTCTTCCATTTAGGACTCAACTTATTCCAGCTTTTTCTGTTCCTCCAAGACAAGATCTATGAAAGATCCCCGATACCTTATCCCTCAGAGACCCCCTACATAGTAAATCCCCAAAAGTATCTGAGAAATGAGAATGATTGAGTGAATGAATGTCACAGGATAGTCCTTCCAGCTGCTTTTTTTTTTTTTTTTTTTTTGAGACAGAGTCTTGCTCTGTTTCCCAGGCTAGAGTGCAGTGGCACGATCTCGGCTCACTGCAACCTCCGCCTCCCAGGTTCAAGCGATTCTCCTGCCTCAGCCTCCCTAGTAGCTGGGATTACAGGTGCCCGCGACCATGCCCAGCTAATTTTTGTATTTTTAGTAGAAACGGGGTTTCACCATGTTGGCCAGGATGGTCTCAAACTCCTGACCTCATGATCCGCCCGCCTTGGCCTCCCAAAGTGCTGGGATTACAGGTATGAGCCACTGTGCCTGGCTTCCAGCTTTAACATTCAATGCCTCTATCCCTCTCTGTCCTCAGAGGGTTGGTTCATCCTCAGTGAGGTGAAAGAGGACAAAGTCTTGTCAGGTCTAGATACAGCATAGGACCATGCAAAGAGTGGGCCGCTTCAGCCAAACGTCGAGCCTGTCAGTTTTACTAACTTCATATAAATGGGATTATACTGGATGTATTCTCTGTGTCTTGTTTTTCACCCAACATTATATTCTATATCCTTACTAGGATGGGGATTATCAGGGATCACTTTTAATTATTCATTAAACTATATACATATGCTTTCTGCATTTTCAGTATCTGCACTATACTTCACAATAAAAGAAGAATTCAGGGAACCCAAGACAATTAGCATTTGTTTTCAACTGACAACCTAGAATGAGTGTTCTCTTTTAGTCTTAAAAAAAAAAGTGGTTGGGTGTAGTGGCTCACATCTGTAATCCCAGAACTTTGGGAGGTGGAGGCAGGAGGATCACTTGAGACCAAGAATTCAAGACTAGCCTGGACAACATGGCAGATCCTCATCTCTACAAAAAATAAAAAATTAACTGGGCAAGGTAATGCCTGTAGTCCCAGCAACTCGGGAGGCTGAGGCAGGAGGATCACCTGGCAGCAGTAAGCCAAGATCACGTCACTACACTCCAGAGTGACAGCCTGTCTCAAAAAAAAGAAAAAAGTGACTTGGAACCTGCAAGATCTTCACAAAAGGTAAGAACCTTGGGGAAGTTTTTCACCTGGGAACTTTACCTGAAAGCTTGTCATTTTTTCACCCCTTGGCGAGTATTCAGTCAACAGAAGCATTGCCCTCACTTTATGGGTCACACATCACATGGGACTGTGTCTCTCCTACCAAGTGGTCTAATCTGTCTGAGCTTTAGTTTCTTCATATGGAAAACGATGATGTCACTGGCAGCATGGTGGGGGTTGTGGAGGATGCCGACATAAATGAAGTATGAGGACACGACTTACCATACTCTACGATTGGGTCTAAAATCTGCACATGTGGCAAGGTAACAGTGTGGAAAATGGGGGTTATATGCTTTGTGTTGGTAAACTTGAGAAAGAGTTAGGGGAAATCATTTTCCACTAGGAGACCCAGTTCAGCAACACTTTAGTATTTACCTGCCTGGGCTGCCTCATGCATTGCTCTGTGGGGAGTCAGGGTTTAATGAAGTGGGATAAACCACACACACACATTAGTTAGCATCAGCACAGGCAGGATTAACTTTACACTCCATTTGCAAGAGAAAAGCTCCTCTCCTAGAGTTTGTTATAAAGGGATTTAGAATCACAGAATGATAGAGCTGGAAGACAGCCCCTAAGACATCACCATAATCCTACCCTGTCATTTTACAAAGGGTCAAACTGAAGTCCAGAGAGCAGAAGAGACCTGTCCAAGGTCACCTCCTCAATTAGCACAGAGCTCAGGTTGGACCCCAGTCTCCAGATCCCCAGGCCGGCATCCTCTCCACTTTCTCCTGTATTGCTTAACCACTGCCTTGTAACAAAGGCGGGGTAGCACATTTCTCTTTCTGGCTTTGCTCTATACCCTTGATACTCACACCCTCCATATTCAGTTTTCATGGTGTATGAGCAAGATTTGCATGTATCCAACTGAGCCAGGCTCCCTCATGTCAGTGTAGCTTTGCATTTGCTGTTTCCTTTGTCTTCACTGGTCTTCCCTCTCTACTCTTTCCAGAGAGACTCTATTCAGTGTTGCCTTCCCCAGGAATTCTTCTCTGAACTATGCCCTCTCCCATCTCTCTAGACTTTGAGCTCCTCTAGAATAGGGACTACATCTTTGTATCTCACTGCCTAGCAGAGGAATGGCATGTGGCAGACACAGGGTAAAAATTTGTTGAATGAATAAATGGCCAGATAAAATAATAATTAAATGCACAAATGAATGAATGAAGTGAAACGCAGGTAGGAAGCAGTATGGGTCTCAAACAACCTGGAGCTCTTAACAACTTGCCAATTTAGCTCAAGTCCTTCCTTGTGGAGCTCTGGCCAGTTCTAGAAGTTTTTCATGACAACCATGGTCCATGACCTCTCTCCTTTGGATGGCCTCGACTCTGACCACATATCACTGAGCTGAATCTACCATAGCCCTAAGCTTTCATCTCAGGCCCCAAACAGACTGTCAATGAGCCATCGATTCTGTCCTTGCCACCATCTTCAACCAGTTTTCCCAGGGCTGCCTGCACTGGGGGATACACCTAGGAAATTTCCACATGAGACATGAAGCCTATGTCTTCAGGGTGACTGCGCCCCTCAGGGTGGAGTGCCAACACAGATTCCCCATGGGCATCTCAATTCTAGCAACTTGATTAGAGAAGGCACCTTCAGATGTCCCTTGTTTATATAGACTCCTGAGAGGGAAAGTTGGGAGTGTGTATAAGTACCTATATACATGTATATAACTGGGATAGGCATTGAAGTAGAAGTCAGGAGACTAGGGGTTCAGCCCCAACTTTGTCAGCATGGCAAAATGGTTAAGCATATGGACTCTGGAATTGTACTGCTGGGTTAGAATCCCAGCTCTCGCACTTACTAGCTGTTCAGCCTTGGGGAGGTTACCTAACTGTGGTGTGCTTCATTTCCCCACCTATAGAATGGAGACAATGATATTCTCTGCCTCATAGAGCTGCTGTGAAGAACACATGAGGTAGGCTGGGCTCCGTGGCTCACACCTGTAATCCCAGTGCTTTGAGAAGCCAAGACGAAAGGATCGCTTGAACCCAGGAGTTTGAGACTGCAGTGAGCTATGTATGATCATGCCACTGCACTCCAGTCTGGGTGACGGAGTGAGACCCAGTCTCTGAAAAAAAAAAAGAATATGTGAGGTAATATATGTAATGTGTTTAGAATAGCGCCAGGCACATATTAAGTGTTAAATAAATGTTAGGAATTATTATTTTCTCAGACCCTTAGTTCTTGTTATTCCTTCTGCCTAGAATGTTCTACCCTCTGGCTTTCTGCATGCCCAGCTCCTTCTCCTTCAAGTCTCCACTTAATGTCGTCTCCTCAGGGAGACCTTCCTTGACCACACCTAGAATATATTTTCCCCCTCACCCCTGCATCACTGAATACATGGAGAATGGACCAGGGTGTTTCTAAATCCCTTCTGGTTCTTATCTTGTGTATTTTCCACAATGTTATTATTTTTTAGGCACAGGGTTCCTCCCATAAGCCTAGGCTATTCATTTATGTGATTAACACAGAGTAACAAACTTGTAAACTGCAGGCATATTTGATTTGGAACAAGCTGAGTGGGCCACTGATTGTATTTCCAGTTTGCATCTGTTCCTTCTTGTTACATCTTTACTTCTGTGCCAGGAGTATCATTGCCAAAAGTGGTCAGAGACTTAAAAGTTTGCTTTTTCCTTTTGGCGGCATCAGTAAACTGAATTATTAAAGTTTTGTCTTCCCTCTTTGAAACTCCCAAAAGAAAAGAAATCACAAAAACAAATCTTGGCATACAAAGAAAATGAGACAAAGAATGTAATCATAATACTAGCGAATGGTTTTCAGACTGACATCTGTACATTAAGAATATGTAAAAATACCAATTTCATGCTCTGACAACTTATTCTGCATCAGGGGTGGGGTAATGCCTTGGGAATGCCAAATGTCAAAGCATTACATAATGTCAGCTATTCATGTGCTTCTTTGATGAGCTATCACTGGGATTCCTTAAGGGAATGGAATGGGAATGGGAATGGGAATTCCTTAAGGGAGAGATGTCTTAAAAAGTGGAGGGGAGAGGGAAAGCATAAGAAAAGGAAAGAAAGGAAGGAAAGAAGGGACAAAGGAAGAGAGATGCTGTCAAAATCATGATGAGTAATTGTGTAAAGAAAAGTTAACATGTGTGTGTATATATACATATATAGATAGATATATATGTTTTTTTTTTTTTTGAGACAGAGTCTCCCTCTGTCACCCAGGCTAGAGTGCAGTGGTTCGATCTCAGCCCACTGCAACCTCCAACTCCTGGGTTCAAGTGATTCTCATGCCTCAGCCTCTGAGTAGCTGGAATTACAGGCACGTGCCACCAAACCCAGCTAATTTTTGTATTTTAGTAGAGACGGGGTTTCACCATGTTGGCCAGGCTGGTCTCAAACTCCTGACCTCACGTGATACACCCACTTCGACCTCCCAAAGGGAGGAGATTACAGGTGTGAGCCATCATGCCCTGCCTATATATTTTTAAACAGTACATACAATCCCAAATCTAAGCCACCATATGTGGGGTTTACTTATCTCTGTTTTGATTTTCCACAATTAGAACATGCACGTTTAATTTCTTTTCTTTCATAGGTGTTGCTTTTTTTTTTGCCTGAATTTTTGTAACATCCACAGAAATCCAAGTGAAAAATGTTTCCATCATCCTATTGCTCCAAGTAATCAAACTTGCTGATTATTTTCTGTTCTGTTCTAGTTTTTGTCCAAATGCATAATATCCCACAGTGGCTATGATAAGCAAAAATTCACATGCCTTCTAAAACTGTATCATAGGAATTTCCCCACATTATTATATGGACTTCATAATGACCACCTTAATTATTTAAGACTATTCTGAAGTATACTCACTTGTACTATAATTTACTTACCCATTCTCATGTTATTGTACTTTAGGGTACCTCCCCACTTTTTATAGTTATAGGTAGTACCTATTAAATGTCTTTCATATTCAACATGCTTTTAATGCATTCAACAAACTCTTTTTTTTTTTGAGAGGGTTTTGTCTCACTTTGTCACTTAGGCTGGAGTATAGGTGGTAAGATCTCAGCTCACTGCAACCTCGGCCTCCCAGGCTGAAGCGATCTTCCCACCTTAGCCTCCTGAGTAGCTGGTACTACACACATGTGCCACCATGCCTGGTAATTATTATTATTATTATTATTATTTTTGTATTTTTGGTAGAGACAGGGTTTTGCCATGTTGCCCAGGCTGGTCTTGAACTCCTGAGCTCAGGAAATCCTCCCACCTTGGCATCCCAAAGTGCTGGGGTTACAGGCGTGAACTACCACCCTTGGCCCGCATTGAACAAACTTTTATATGACATGTGCTGTGTTCGACAGTAGGGATTATCTGGAAGGATCCTGCTTCAGGGTCTAGGGACGGAGATGGACAAATGGACACACAAATGCAATTCAGAGCTCCAGTGCCTTGCTTCCCAAAGTGCGGTTCATCGACAAGAAGCATCAGCATCACCTGGAAGCTTCTTAGAATGGAAACTCTCAGGCCTCGCCCTAGACCTACTGAATGAGAATCTGAATTTTAACAAGATCCCCAGATGATTCATGTGTACATGAAAAGCTTGAGTAATCTGCCAATCCAGGGTTTTTCTACCTCGATGGGTCACTTGATTGATAATTCCTGGTCTCTTCAGCCTCTTCTCTACTTTTCCACAGCCATAAGCATGCTCAGGTCTCTCTTACCTTAAAAAATCCAGTAAAAAATCCAGTAAAAAATCTACAAACCTCCCTTGACTTGGGTCCCTCTCTAGTATGGGCTTCATAAGAAGACCTTCTGTGTGTTCCTCCATAATCGTATCTCCCACACCCTCCTCAATCCAGAGCACTCTGATTTCTGCTCCCCACTTCACTCAGACTGCTCTGAAGATGGGCTCCGGGGCCCCCCTAGCTCCCCACACATCCAGTGGCCTCTCTAGTTTTCATTTCCCTTTCTTTCCCAGTGTTATCAGACACCACAATCAATTCTGTCTCCCAAACTCTCTTCCCAAAGTCACCAGTCCCTCTCAGTTTTCTCCTATTTCTCTTACCATGGTATCCAATCCTTCCCCCTCAATCCTTCAGCTCCCTGGTCTGCCTCTTAAACCTTGAGGTTCAACTCCAGGGTGCTGTCCTTGATTCTCTTCTCACTCTACACATTGCCCCTCAGTAAGTTCATTCCTGCCCGAGATTGCAATGATCATCTCTTGACTGAAGACTCCCCAATACACAACACATGTAGATGCAGAGCTCTCTCTTCCTGTGCCTTTCTTCTCTCTCCAATTGCCCACCAGGCTTTAGCACCTGGATGTCCCAGCACTTCAAAGTCAGTGAGTTCAAGAGTGGTCCCCTTAAACATCTACCATTTCTCTGGTTTCTCTGTCTCAATAAATGGTTTCACCAGCCACCCAGTGATTCTCCCCTCCTCCCCCACCCCCAACAAGTCACTATGTACTGTTGATTCTTTCTCTGCTCCATCTCTCAGATCTATACCCCATGTCATTCCCCTGATTTAGTTCTCGTCACCTCTCTCCAGGATGACTACCACAGTTGCTCAACCGGTCTCCTTGCCTCTGCTCCCACCCTCAACACCCCAACCTTCTCCAATCTAAAGTGATGGTATTATTTATAATACGAAAATATGATCCTTTGTTTTTTTGAGACACAGTGTGTCACTCTGCTGCCAAGGCTGGAGTGTAGGTGACACAATCACGGCCCACTGCAGCCTCATCCTCCCTGGACTCAGGCAATCCTCCCACCCCAGCCTCCCAAGTAGCTGGGACTCCAGGCATGCACACCCCCATGCCCAGCTAATGTTTGTGTTTTTTGTAGAGACAGGGTTTCAACATTCTGCTAGGCTGGTCTTGAACTCCTGGGCTCAAGCAATCTGCCCATCTTGGCCTCCCAAAGTGCTAGGATTATAGGCATGAGCCACCGTGCCTGGCCTCGAAAATATGATCTTAACATATCTCTGTGACTGCTGTTAAATCTTTCCAAGGATGTCCAGACGTATTCAGTCAAAACCTCAGAGAGGTAGGATGAAGACGGGAGTTTTGCTGTTCCATTCTCCCTCAACTGCAAATTACTGGCCAACAAATAACATCCTTGGGCCAGGCGCAGTGGCTCACACTTGTAATCCCAGCACTTTGGGAGGCCAAGGCAGGAGGATTGCTTGAGCCCAGGAGTTCAAGACCAGCCTGGGCAACATAGTGAGACTGTCTCTTTTAAATAATAATACTAAAATAAATAATAAAGAAAAAAAAGACAAATAACATCCTTGGCCCTGCACTTCAGGCACTACAGAACCAGCAAAGTCCTTGGGAATTAAAAGAATACTCCCTTCCGGCCCGGCACAGAGGCTCACGCCTGTAATCCCAGCACTTTGGGAGGCCAAGGCAGGCGGATCACGAGGTCAGGAGATCGAAACCATCCTGGCTAATGTGGTGAAACCCCATCTCTACTAAAAATACAAAAAAATTAGCCGGGCGTGGTGGCGGGTGCCTGTAGTCCCAGCTACTCGGGAGGCTGAGGCAGGAGAATGGCATGAACCGGAGGTTGCAGTGAGCCGAGATTGTACCACTGCACTCCAGTCTGGTGACAGAGCTAGATTCTGTCTCAAAAACAACAACAACAACAACAACAACAACAAAAACTCCCTTCCTACTGCAAGGTCTGTGATAGACTTTAGAACAGCACAGAACCCTACAGAGAGAGGCTACTAAAGTAGGGGAGTTCTTACAAACTAGCACGTTGACTCTGCCAGCCCAGATATGGCCAAAAGATTCTACTACTTTCCCTTTCTTGGAGCATGTGTCTCCAGGCCACAGAGACCCCATGCAGTGGCGTGCTAATAACTGGCTCTCAGGGGGAGAATGTCCAGGTGTAAAGCAACTGCTGATTTTCTTAGTATATAAATATTCCCACAGTGGTTGATTTCAAGTTACCACCTCGATGGTGTTGAACACTTTGTTGGGAAGAGAGGCGCAGCAGCACATCATTATATAGCATCTCCACCATACAGATAAAATAGAGGTAACTTACCTTTAGAGCTAAGACAATAGTACAATAATTAGGGCTGGGCATGCTGGCTCATGCCTGTGATCCTAGCACTTTGGGAGGCTGAGGCAGGAGGATCGCTTGAGCCCAGGCATTTGAGACCAGTGTGGGCAACATAGGAAGACCCATCTCTATAAAATGTTAAATAGTAAAGTAGCAGGCATGGTGGCGAACATCTATAGTTCCACTTTCTCAGGAAGCTGAGCCGAGAGGTTCACTTGAGCCCAGGAGTTTGAGTTTACAGAGAGCTATGATTGTGCCACTGCACTGTAGCCTTGGCAACAGAGCAAGACTGTGTTCCAAAAACAAAACAAAACAAAAAAACTAGAATTAGGAAGTGAATTTTGAATATTTATTACCATTTGAAAAATATAACTTTTTTTTTTTTTTTTTGTGACAGGGTCTCACTCTGTCGCCCAGACTGGAGTGCAGTGGTGTGATCTCGGCTCACCACCACCTCTGCCTCCCGGGTACAAGTGATTCTCCTGCCTCAGCCTCCCGAGTAGCTGAGATTACAGGCAGGCGCCACTACCGCCCAGCTAATTTTTGTATTTTTAGTAGAGATGGGGTTTCACCATGTTGGCCAGGCTGGTCTCAAACTCCTGACCTCAAATGATCCACTTGCCTCAGCCTCCCAAACTGCTGGGATTACAGGCATGAGCCACTGCACCCAGGCTGAAAAATATAATTTATTGAATTGTAAGTTTATATAATTTAATTTATAAGAATGACTGGGCTTAACAACCAGCTTGCAAAATTCCTTAAGATTTGACAATCAGTTGTCATGAGCCAGTCTGAGTTAGCTCAGGCACAATGCTGCCTCTATCCCACCGTAACTGTGTTACCCCTCGCCTGGTCTCAGGCAATAGTCTCCTAACTGGCTTCACCTCCAGTCTCACCTTCCCTACGCTAGCCATTAGAAAGGGTGTAAAAAACATGTAATTGACCACATTACTCTTCTTAAAACCTTCCATGGGTCTTGATTGTCCTGAGGATAAAATCCAATTCCTTACCTACCATACCTGGACTTTTTGACCAGACCCAAACCTTCCTCTATAGCTTCCCAGTAAGTCTATTCTTTCACGGTGTTTTCCTCTCTTCCTCCATTCTCCAACATGCTGTGCTCCAGTCAGGCCAGCTCACTTGCAGTTTCACAAACACACAAAGCTGAGTCATGCCTCTATGCCATGGCTCTGGCAGAGCCTGATGGCTGGTGAGCTTCAGCCTGATCCTGGTTTCTGCACAGAGAACACTCACTCTTACGTCAAGATTCAGAGAATCACTTGTACAAACTTTTCTCATTCTCTTAGTTACATATGAACTCCTACTCTTGTGTTGCCATGAGCTCCATAATACTTCTCTCTTAGAAGCTGTGAGTACCTTACTTCACATTTCTTTTTCTTTTTTTGTTAGTAGAGATGAGGTCTTGCCTTGTTGCCCAGGCTGGTCTTGAACTCCTGGCCTCAAGCAATCCTCCTGCCTTGGCCTCCCAAAGTGTTGGGATTACAGGCATGAGCCACCGTGTCTGGCTGCATTTATTTATATATCTTTTTTTTTCTGTCGGATTATAAACACTCCATATAGGACTGGAGAAGATACCTACAGAGCAGGAGCTCAAGTAAGTATCTGTTAAATGACCAAACGAATGAGGGCCAAGGAAGCTCTAAAGTTGAGGTCTCAAGGGCCTGGATACAAAGACGGTGTGGTGAAGACCGGGAGGCTGGATCAGTCCTGTTCTCACTCTTGCTTAATCAAAGAAGGCATATCTTCCTGCTGAGAAAGAGGAACTTAGCATTGGAAGGGAATTTGAAGGTTCTGTAGCTCTCAGGAAGAATCAGTTTCTAATTCTGACACATACTGCAACCTGGATGAACCTTTTTTATTTTTTCAGACAGGACCTTGCAAGTTGGTACCACTTGCATTCCAGGCTAAAATGCAAGTGGTATAAACACAGCTCAATGCAGCCTCGACTTCCTAGGCGCAAGTGATCCTCCCACCTCAGCCTCCCAAGTAGCTGGGACAACAGGCACACATCACCATGTCTGGCTAATTTGTATAGTTTTTGTAGAGACGAAGTCTCGGACATTGCCCAGGCTGGACTCAAACTCTGCCCCAAGTGATCCTCCTGCGTTAGCCCCCCAAAGTGTTGGGATTACAGGCATGAGCCACCTCACCTAGCCCTGGATAAACCTTGAAGACATTATGCTAAATGAAATAAGTCAGACACAAAAGGACAAATACGGTCGGGCCCAGTAGTGCACGCCTGTAATGCTGATGGCACGTGCCTGTATTCCCAACTACTTGGGAGTGTGAAGTGGGAGGATCACTTGAGCCTGGGAGGTGGAGGTTGCAGTGAGCTGAGATCATGCCACTGTACTCCAGCCTGGGTGGCAGAGCCAGACCCTGTCTCAAAAAAAATAAAAAGGACAAATATTGTGTGATTCCACTTATATAACATACCCAGAACTGTCAAATTCTTAGAGCTGGAAAGTAGAATGGTGGTTGCCAGGGACCAAGGAAAGAGGGGAATGGGGAATTATTGCTTTCTGGGTACAGAGTTTCAGTTTGGGAAGACGAAAAAGCTCTGCAGATGGATGGTAGTGATGGTTGTATAACGATGTCAATGTATTTAATGCCACTCAACTATACTGTTAAAAATTATTAAATTGGTATAATTTTTTTTTTTTTTGAGACAGGGTCTCTGACTCTGTCACCCAGGCTGGAGTGCTGTAGGGCGATCATAGCACACTGCAGCCTCAACCTTCCAGGCTCAATCAATTCTCCCACCTCAGCCCCGCAAGTAGCTGAGACTATAGGAACATGCCCCAACACCAGGATAATTTTTTTTTTTTTTTTTTTGAGATGGAGTCTCCCTCTGTCACCCAGGCTGGAGTGCAGTGGCATGATCTCGGCTCATTGCAACCTCCACCTCCCAGGTTCGAGCAATTCTCCTGCCTCAGCCTCCCAAGTAGCTGGGACTACAGGCACGCACCACCACACCTGGCTAATTTTTATATTTTCAGTAGAGATGGGGTTTAGACATGTTGGTCAGGCTGGTCTCAAACTCGTGACCTCAAGTGATCTGCCCGCCTCGACCTCCCAAAGTGCTGGGATTACAGTCATGAGCCACCATGCCCAGCCTATTTTACCACAATTTTTTAAAAAGGAGAATCACTCTTTCTCAAAAGAAAAAAGGAAAAAAAAAAAAAAAAAAAAAAGGAGAATCAGTCCCTGGATCTGAGGACCTGAGTCTAGGGGATCAGAGGAGGAGGGTGGGGGTGAAAATAGAGCAGTGATGGGACTTCTCTTATGAATGGCCTCTCTGCCTTCCTCCCTCCCTTTTCCCTCCAATACTGGCTGGGCCATGTGCTATTTTGGGGGCAAATGCATGTCCTTGTGTGCACTCAGAGATGAATAAGACGGAGCACCTGCCCTGGAGGAGTCAGTGGTACAAATAAGTCAGGGAGGAAGTATGTAAGCCAATTTCACAGATGGAATGATAAGTAAAATTATACGTCATGACCCTAAATCTTCCCATTCTCCTCCTTTCCCCTCTGACCTCAGTGCATGCTTCTGAGTCTCCATAAGAGGAAACTGCACAATATTCCTTGAATCAAGGTTAGATGAGAAGATTTAATAGCATTAGGAGAAATGTCTGGGTCCAATTATGGAGCTTTAAATGCAGCCTTTATATTTCACACTTGGAATCAAGGTTACTGAATTCTCTAGATGTTTTCAAATAAGCCAAACTATCGCACAGATAACAGGAGAGTAATTGGAAATGGACCGAGAGAGACCTTGAGCATAAGCAATCTGAGGAAACAGTTTAAACAAGCCCACAGTATCCTTTGCAGAAGATCTATTAGCGATGGATGCATACGTCGAAGAATCTTAGAATTGGGGAGCTTAACGGGACCTGCCTTGGCAATTATGAAGTCTGTTTCCTCATTTTACGGATGAGGAAACTGAAGGGCACAGAGAGAAAGTGGCTTGAAAGTTCACACAGGAAAATTATGTCATACCTGGCACAATAATCCTGTCCTTTGACTTTTAGTTGAGGGCTCTTGATTTTTCTGCTCACCTGTTGCTTTGCTTCAATAAAATGTTGTAAAGTTTCCTTTATAAGTACAATTTTCTCTTCTAATACTGGAATGAGTCAGAGAGGGAGAAGTAAGTCCTTGCAAATGATAAATATATACTGCTATGGGTTGAATTGTGTCACCCCAAATGATATGGTGAAGTCCTAAACCCTAATATCTCAGAATGTGACCTTATTTGGCTGGGCGTGGTGGCTCATACCTGTAATTCTGGCACGTTGGGAGGCCCAGGTAGGCAGATTGCCTGAGCTCAGGAGTTGGAGACCAGACTGGGCAACATGGTGAAACTGTCTCTACTAAAAACACAAAAAATTATCTTTAGCTGCTCTGGAGGCTGAGGCACATGAATCGCTTGAACCCAGGAGGTGGAAGTTACAGTGAGCTGAGATTGCACCACTGCACTCCAGCCTGGGTGACAGAGCGAGACTCTGTCTCCAAAAAAAAAAAAAAAAAAAAAAGTGACCTTATTTGGAAACCAGCGTCATTGGAGATATCAGTTAAGATATGATGGGTTCTTAATTCAGTATGACTAATGGCCTTATAGGAGGAAGAAGGAGACATGCAGGGAGAAGATGTAGCCATGTGATGACAGAGGCAGAGGTTGGAGTGATGCATCTACAAACCAAGGATTGCCAAGAACCTACAGAAGCCAGGAAGAGGCAGGGAGGGCTCTTCCTTAAAGCCATCAGAGAGCATGGACCTGCCAATGTCTTGATCTCAGACTTCTAGCCTCCAAAACTGTGAGAAAAGAAATTCTTGCTGTTAAAACAAGTTAAAAAAAGTCACCCCATTTTTTTCATAATTTGTTATGGGAAGCCCTAGGAAATGAATACAGTACATAAATGTTGCCAGCATGTGAGTTTCCTTGGGCCAAAAGAAGTGGGTTTCATCAGGCCTTGGGGTAGAGGCAGTTAGGAAACAAAAGTTGGACTGGGCTCGAATATTTGGTAGCAATAAGCCCCAAAGTTCAAGCAGCCAGCGTGTCCTAATCAGATTCTAATCTGGGATACTAACAATGGATGATGAGCAGAATCAGAAGCAAAGGTGGAGGAAATATTTGTCTTCCCATTTGAAGAAGTTGCAGTTCCAAATCTTCGATTCAGCAACTCTGATTGGGATACGAAGTTTTACGGTTTATGCAAGTTGCATCTCTCAGGTACACATAGCTGACATAAAAAGCAGCAAGTTCTCTTCCTTGTTCCCACTAAACTCCTCCTACCCCATAGCCAGTCACAGACTTCTATATGATCCAAAGCCAGAAAAGATTATAAGGTGGTTGTTAAAACCTCACTCACTTTGGAGTGTTGCTGGACCACTGCAGGCTGATGGCAGTCCAGAAAGATGTGTCCATTTACTCAGTGTTAAGTCTTTGAATTAGAGTCTCTGCAGGAAACAGGTGTACATTCTAAATGAGGAACTGAGGAAGGTTTCATGAAGGGACCGTTTACAGAGGGGTGGGCAGTGCTAGGGAAGACAACAAGGTATGGTACCCTAGGGCTAGCCATTGCAGGGAGCATTCACCTGTTAGTTACACCTAAAAGGGCAAGGAAGGGAGGGAGTGGCTGTATGAAGAAGGGGACCTGACAGGAACTGTGGTCTTTTGTAGAGGAACACAATCAACTCATGCAGACGCAGCAGAGAGGGAGCCAGCACACTAACGGTGTGACTTCATTCCCCTCCTGTCCTCCTAAATTTAGCTCATGCTGCCTATTGTCCAACCCCAACCAAAGACTGAAAGACAAGGAAGCTCTTCATACTTACTGGTGATAGACTGAAAGCTTTCCACCTAACAGCAGAAACAATATAAGGATGCCTGCTTTCATCACTGCTACTCAATATGGTACTGGGAATCCTAGCAGTTTGGGAAGAAAAAGTAAAACACTTTCATCATTTGAAATCACAATAGTCATCCAAACTGGAAAGGAAGAAATATTTATAGTTGTAGAAGACAGGATTCTACATATAGAAAATCCCAAGGAATACACAAAAGATCTATGAGACCTAGTAAGTGAATTTAGCAAAGTTGCAGGGTACAAGATGAGCTCACAAAAACCAGTGGTGTTTATATACATTATCAAAAAACGATCCTAAAAAAAAAAATTCCAGAAGAATAAAATACAATTCTTAGGAATAAATTTAACCAAGGAAGAAAGACTTGTACACTGAAAGTTATAAAACTTCTGAATAAAATTTAAAAAGACCTAATTTAATGTAATGAAATTCCATTGTTATATATCAGAAAACTTATGGCAATACTCCTAAAATGATCTACGGATTCAATGGAATCCCTATCAAAACTCCAATGGCCATTTTTGCAAAAACGGAAAGATTGATCCTGAAATTTATAGGAAATTGCGTGGGGCCCCAAATAGCCAAAACAATGTTGAAAAAGAGAAACAAAGTTGGAGAACTCCCACTTTCTGATTTCTTTCTTTCTTTCTTTTTTTAAGAGATGGAGTCTTGCTCTGTCACCCAGGCTGGAGTGCAGTGGCGTGATCTTAGCTCACTGCAACCTCTGCCTCCCGGGTTCAAGCAATTCTCCTGCCTCAGCCTCCTGAGTAGCTGGAACTACAGGTGCACATTGCTGCTCCTGGCTAATTTTTTGCATTTTAGTAGAGACAGGGTTTACTACAAAACTACAGTAATCAAAGCAGTGTGATACCATCATAAGGATGGACATATAGACCAACAGAATAAAGTTGAGAGTCCAGAAATGAACCCAAACACCTATGGTCACCTGATTTTCAACAAGCGTGCCAAGAACATTCAATGGGGGAATAAACAGTCTCTTCAAAATAGTGCTGGGAGAACTGGAAAACTACATGCCAAAGAATGAAGTTGGATCCCTACCTCACTTCATATACAAAGAGTAACTTGAAATGGATCAATGACCTAAATACCAGAGCTGAAAGTATAAAACTACATTAGAAGAAAACATAGGGGTAAATCTTTATGAGTTTGGATTTGGCAATGGATTCTTAAAAGACCCCAAAGCACAAGCAACAAAAGAAAAAATAGATCAATTAGATTTCACAAAAATTAAAACTTTTGCAAATTAAAGGATATTATCAATAAAGTGAAAAGGCAACCTACAGAATGGGAGGGAATATTTACAAACCTTATCTCATAAGGGTTTAGTGTCCAGAATATATAAAGAATGCTTACAATTTGAAACAAAAATACAAACAATTTGCAAATGGGTAGTGAGGCCAGGCATGGTGGCTCTTGCCTGTAATCCCAGCACTTTGGGATGCCAAGGCAGGTGGATCACCTGAGGCCAGGAGTTCAAGACCAGCCTGGCCAACATGGTGACACCCCATCTCTATTAAAAATACAAAACTTAGCCAGGCATGGTGGCGCCTGCTTGTGATCCCAGCTACTGGGGAGGCTGAGGCAGGAGAATCACTTAAACCAGGAATTAAACGGAGGTTGCAGTGAGCTGAGGTCATGCCACTGCACTCCGGCCTGGGCGACAGAGTCAGACCTGTCCCCTGCCACCCCGCCCCCAGAAAAAGAATGAAGCACTGATACACGCTACAACTTGGATGAACCTCAAACATTTTTGTGTTACGTAAAAGGAGCCAGACACAAAAAGTTACATATTGTATGATTCCTTATACACGACGTACCTTGAATAGGCAAATCCCTTGAGACAGAAAGCAGACTCCTGGTTGTCAGAGAATGAGGAAGGGGAGATGGGGAGTTATTACTTAAAGCCTATAGAATATTCTTCTGGGGGTGATGAAAAAGTTTTGAAACCAGAGAGAGGTGGTGGTGGTTGTATTAGGTTGGTGCAAAAGTAACTGCGGTTTTTGTCAAAACTTTTAATTACTTTTAATGGCAACTACTTTGCGCCAACTTAATGCAACATAGTGAATGCACTAAATGCTGCTGAACTGTACACTTTTAAATGATTAATGGGGCAGGGCTCCGTGGTTCCTGCCTGTAATCCCAGCGCTTAGGGAGGCTAAGGAAGTGGGGGATCACTTGACGCCAGAAGTTTAAGACTAGTGTGGGCAACCTAGCAAGACCTAGTCTCTACAGAAAATTTAAAAATTAGCTGGGGGTGGTGGGGTATGCCTGTAGTCCCAGCTACTCGGGACGCTGAGGTAAGAGGACTGCTTGAGCCCAGGAGTTAAAGGTTACAGTGAGTTATGATTTTGCAACTGCACTCCAGTCTAGGCAATGGACAAGACCCTGTCTCTTTAAAAAAAAAAAAAAATAGCTGGGCGCGGTGGCTCACGCCTGTAAGCGCAGCACTTTGGGAGGCTGAGGCGGGCAGATCACAAGGCCAAGAGATCGAGACCATCCTGGCCAAAATGGTGAAACCCCAACTCTACTGAAAATACAAAAATTAGCTGGGTGTGGTGGCACATGTCTGTACTCCCAGCCACTTGGGAGGCTGAGATAGGAGAATTGCTTGAACCCGGGAGGCAGAGGTTGCAGTGAGCCAAGACTGCGCCACTGCACTCCAGCCTGGCGACAGAGTGAGACTCCATCTCAAAAAAAAAAAAAAAAAAAAAAAGCTGCGTGCAGTGGCTAACACCTGTAATCCCAGCACTCTGGGAGGCAGAGGCAGGCAGATCACCTGAGGTCAGGAGTTCGAGACCAGCCTGGCCAACATGGCAAAACCCCGTCTCTACTAAAAATACAAAAATTAGCTGGGTGTGGTGGCAGGTGCCTGCAGTACCAGTTACACAGGAGGCTGAGGCAGGAGAATCACTAGAACCTGGGAGCTGGAGGTTCCAGTGAGCCGAGATTGCACCACTGCACTCCAGCCTGGGCAGGCGACAGAGGGAGACTCTGTCTCAAAAAAAAAAAAAAAGAAAGAAAGAAAGAAAGAAAGAAAGAAAGAAAGAAATGCAGAACTATATTCTGTCTATGTGACATGCACTTTATGTAAAGACAAGTTGAAAGTAAAAGGATCAAAAACAATGTACTATGCAAATAGTTACAAAGGCTGCAGAGACTATACTAATATCAGATAAAGTAGATGTCAAGAAGACAGTATTACAAAGATAAAGAAGGACTTTTCTTAACGAAAAATGATTCATCCATGTAAGTGTATGTTTTTAATAACAACTTCAAAATAGCTGAAGCAAAAATGGTCTCAAATAAATTGAGAAACATGTAAGTTTTCCATTATGGTTGTGCCACATGTTATTTAATCTATTCCTGATTGATGGACATTTAATTTGTTTCTGATTTTTTTTTTACTATTGCCACAATGAATATATTTGTGCATGTGTACATATATCTATATCTATATCTATCTATACTTATGTAGTAGTGTCTACTTAGGAAAGATTCCTAGAATGGATTTGCTGGGTCAAAGGTCATTGTGTCATTTGATTAACATTTTATCAAAATCGTATTTTGATTCAGTACAGCCAAATTCTTCTTCTAAAAGACTTCATCAATTTACCCTCCTACCAACAGTGTATGAGTGTACATTTCTTTTGTTGTTGTTCTAACACTGTTTTCCCATCGCTCCTCGGCTAGAAATCAAAATTTCTCGCATGCATTCAAAGCCCCACAGTCTGGCCCCTCCTTATGTCGCCAGGCCCTCCAGTGCTCCTACTCCCCTCTACTCTCGTCTCCAGCCCCAGTGACATTTCAGTCTCTATTGATTTGCTCCAGGACCTTTGCACCTGCTGTTTCCTCTGCCTGAAATACTTTACCCTTGATGCTTCTTTCAGTTTATTCCTACTTATCCTTCAGATATCATGTCCCGACTTTGTAGAAGCCTTCTCTAACCTTCCTGAATAAGTCAATATCTCCATTGTAGTTTCTCACAGAGCCTCTCATATATAGCATTTATCTAAGATACAATTTTGCATTTGTTTTATTTATTTATTTATTTATTTATTTGTTTGAATACTTTTTTGTAGAGACATGGTCCCTATGTTTATGAGGCTAGTCTCAATCTCTTGGCCTTAAGCAATCCTCCTGGCTCAGCCTCCCACAAGTGAGCCACCATGCCTGGCCTGCACTGGTTTTCTTTCCTTCTTTCTTTTATTTTTGAGACAGGGTCTCACTCTGTTGCCCAGGCTGGAGTGCAGTGGCATGATCATAGCTTACTGCAGCCTGGACTTCCTGGGCTCAGGTGATTCTCCTGCCTCAGCCACCCAAGTAGATGGGAATACAAGTGCCCATGAGCAGGCCCAGCTAATGTTTTGTATTTTTTGGTAGAGATGAGGATTTGCCATATTGCCCAGGCTGATCTCAAACTCCTGGGCTCAAGGGATCCTCCTGCCTCGGCCTCCCAAATTGCTGGGATTACAGGTATGAGCCACCCTGCCCGGCCGTTCACTAACTGAGCTTTCTTACCAGTCTGGAGCTTTCTTTGGCTAATATTCAGATAGGTAGATTCTCTCTGTGCCAAGAAACCAACATAGATGATAATAAAACCTCTCTCACTATTTCCACGCAGCTGAGCGTAGGCACAGAAAAGAGAAAGTTCCAGGGGGTAAGTTCTGAGAGCAACGGCATAGCACAATGAGAAAAAAGCCATTCTCTGGAGGGAGACATCAAACATTCTGAAGAAACTGTGTGGCAGTTCCAGGATTTTAACAGATCTGTCCATAGCAAGTAAGAACAGGGATTGCTAGAGCCATGCAGATAGAGTTGTTGAAGACTGTACAGGAAACAGGAAGTTTGAGGTATTGGGGATAGGGAGACAGAAACTTCTGCAATTAATAGGTGTGATATAAGAAATACAACACCCATATGCAGACTCGTCAGTCAACCATAGAAGAATATCAGATCCCGAAGGGAGGCAGAGGAAGAGGATATCACAGAGACAGTCCTTTTAAAGCCCCATATTGCTAATGGTTTCACCAGTTGAGTAAGAAACAATGGATAATAATGGTTGAAACACAAAGTATCACGTCTATAGTTTATCATATATAATTGTGCTTAAGTTGACTGTAGTCAACTGTGGCTCACATGACAGAATGATCTTAGTTATTTTCAATTAGTTTCTTTTGTGGTTAATCTAAAGTCCCAAGTAAAATAATTCATGGTAGCATTGCCGCAAAGACATGTCGAAACTGAAAACTGTAGACATAATTCCCGGGTCCGGGACGGGCAGCTGAAGAGAGCAGCCCCTCTATAGATGACACCTAAATAAGCCCTGTTTGAGCATGCGTGATCCTTCATGTCTCATAATCTGTGGATCCAGGGCTCATGGACATTTAAAAGAAAGGCATGCCTTTTTAGGCAGCTTCTCCACATGTTACTGATGACATGCTTCAAGATTTCTTGTGCAGAATCTGATGATTCTTAAATTAGAATCCCAATAGTTTTGCCAGTCAGTATTCATTATATAGTCACTTAGAGCTAAGCCTTGAGGAATAAAATTCCAACTAGGAATAATAATAAAAAACGGGAATGGTGCCCTTGCAATACTAGTTCCTTATCCCTAGGATTTTATTGTAATGAGAATATTATCATGTATGTAGTTTAATTTATAATATATATTTTTAAATTTCATTATTTCATAAGGAAAGGCGGTCTCCAAGAAAAATTAAAAGCCATCTCTATGAATTTCCACATTTTCAAGAACGATTTCATAGGCTGGTTGAAAATTGTGTGCTCTCTCCATCACTTTGCAATTTGAAGAACTGCAAAATCATGAATAATACAAAAGGATGTTAAACTTTTCAACAAATCCAGATGGGTACCAATGTCATTGAGAATTCCTGAGAATCACCTTGATTGCTGCTTCAGACCTAGGAGCCTGAATTGAATATCACTTACCAGTTGGAAGCTATTGGCTTAAGTGACAACAGTTTCTACAATAACATTGGTATCTATATTGTTTACTTTTAAAATTGTACAGACACTAAGTTTGTGCAAATAAAAAACATCCAAACTTTAACATTCAGTCACTTCCCTTGCTAGCCTTCTATTTCTTCTCCCTTATCATTTAGACGTTGGTGCAAATAGAAAGAGTGATGGATTGTGAAATGTAGGCCAGTTTTTTCTTTTGAGACGGAGTTTCGATCTTGTTGCCCAGGCTGGAGTGCAGTGGCACAATCTCGGCTCACTGCAACCTCCACCTCCTGGGTTCAAGCGATTCTCCTGCCTTAGCCTCCCCAGTAGCTGGGATTACAGGCGTGTGCCACCACACCTGGCTAATTTTTGTGTTTTTAGTAGAGACAGGGTTTCACCTTGTTGGGCAGGCTGGTCTCAAACTCCTGATCTCAGGTGATCCACCCTCCTAGGCCTCCCAAAGTGCTGGGATTATAGGTGTGAGCCACCACACCCGGCCTGCAGGCCAGTTTTAACACTAACCTTTGCTGGGGCCTTGCAAATCTCTTCATTTTGCATCTTAGTTGTCCCTTCTGCAAAATGAGAGAGTTGGACTAGATGTCCCTTTCAGCCATGATTCTAGGGCTTCCATTGTTCCACACAGTCACTGGATGAAGAGACACTGCCAATGCAAAGACTGAGCCGCCATGAGAACTCATGTTATGTCTTGCAACTCTTGAGGCTGGGTATAATGTAGGCCTAAAGTCTTTACTTCCAATCTTAGGTAGCAGGGAAATGTGTCCATTTGTGGGTTATGCTGCTCATCATACGTCTAATCCCCGTCTCCCCACACCATGCTAGTCCTGGATATTCAGAGTCAGGGCTTGTTTGTCAACACAGAAGACTCGCACACTTGTGATGCTTTTGCTTATCCTGTTCCTTTGCCAGAAGATCCCCCTGCTTCTCTACCTAGCAAACTCTCATTCATTCTTTTAATTTTGTCTTTTAATTTTATATTTTGACATAATTTCACATTTGGAGAAAAATTGCAAAATCTGTACAAAGAATCCTCATATACCTTTACGCAGATCCCCAAAATGTTAACTTTTTACCACACTCCTCTGTCTCTCTCTCCCTCTAGCTCCCAGAATTTTTTTTCTGAGCCACTTAAGCATCAGTTTCAGACATGATGCCCCTTTACTCCAGGTAGTTCAGTGTGCTCGACCTGAAAAATAAAACCAAGACATTCTCTTACATAACCACAATGTAAATATAAAAATTGGGGAAATAATGTTAATGCAGTACTGTCCTCTAACCTAGATCTGGATGTTGCCAATTGTTCCTTTAATGCGGTACAGTTCCTCGGTCTTTCTTTGCATTTCCTGCCACTGACAGTTTTGAAGAGATAAGTCCAGTATTTTTAGAGTGTACCTCATGGTTATATTCAAGTTACGCACTTTTGATGTGAATGCCATAGAAGTAATGTGCTGTTTTTCTCAATGAATCACATCTCACTTTTTAAAGTGAAAGTCATTCTTCAATCTCCTCCATTCCTACTCCCCTCCTAAGAGGTAAATAACCACTGTTAACGATTGGTATTCATCTAGTATTTTGTCTATGCACTTATATACACACATATCTATACACAGGCACACTTGTACCCTTTAAAAACATAATAAAATGAGAACACTATATCCTTACTGCTCTGCAATTTACCTTTTTTCATTTAAGTGTACGTCTTTGGCAATCTTTCCATGTCAGTGCATGCAGATTCCCTTTATTCTTTTAAAAATGGCATATATATATGTATATATATGCCACATATGTGTATATATATATACACACACATATATATACATATATATACATATATATACATATGCCACATATGTGTGTGCATATATATATATATATATATATATATATACACATATATATATATATATATTTTTTTTTTTCCCCTAGAGACTGCCTCTGGCTATGTTGCCCAGGCTTGTCTCAAACTCCTGGGCTCAGGCAATCTGCCCTCCTCAGCCTCCCAAAGTGTTAGGATTACAGGTGTGAGCCACTGTGCCCAGCCAAACGTGGCATAATATTTTTAAATGGTATAAATGTGTTCTTGTTTAGTTTGTTCCCTACTAATGAATATTTCCATTTTTTCTATCACAATGTTTGTACACACATTTAAGAACATACCTCATTTATAATTGTGATAGATGCTATTAAATAGCTCTCCTAACACACTTTTCCAGTTTGTATTCTCATCTACTGTGCATGAGATAATTTGCATTTTTCTGACTGTTAGTGATGCAGAGCACCTATTCACGGCCTTTGGGTTTCCTGTTCTGTGAATTGCCTGTTAGTGGTCTTTGCTGTGAGAATGCTGAATTGTCCGTCTTTGTCTGACTACTTATTTCTCCAGGCCTCACTCATTTCTGTTCCTCTGCAGAGGCTTCTCCACGTCCCCTAATCAGCCACTACCCCCTCCTCTGCTGTCCCACAACACTGTTCACACCGTGCCCAGGCCTTCATTTACCAACCATTCCATAAAAAATCTACTCATTCCAAAAGTGTCCACTGTGAGCCTTCTCTGTGCTTGGCCTTGGGCTAGGTGCTGGGTGGAGAGACATGAGCCAGTCATCATAGACTCCATGCTAAAGTTCAGTTTTGATATGCAGCTTTGAGCATAGAAAAGAGCATGAGTTTTAGATCTAGACATAACTTGAGTTGAATTCCAGCTTCACCACTTCCCAGCTGTGTAATTCAGAGCAAGTCACTTGATTACTCCAAGTCTCCATTTCCATACTAGTGAGGTGAGGCTAATCCCTCCCTAAGAGAGTCACTTGAAGCTGGACAAGAGACAATATATCTGAAGTGGTTAGCAAGGGCCTGTTACACAGTAGGCTTGCAGTAAATGAATGGTAGTTGAAAGGCAACTGTTAAGAGGTCAAAATCAGTTAGTTCTCAGAGGTTCTAGGAGCCACCAATAAACTGGAAAATAAAAAGGAAGGAGGTAGCTCCTCTCTTTGCAATGCAAAGGATATGGATGAGTGCCGCTTGCCCAGATCCTGCTACAGAATATCTTTCCTGCTCTCTGCAGCAGATTTCTGCTTTGTCCTGGCCCCTCATCCCAATTCAGCTGCGCATTGTTGTCCTACTACCACTGCCGTGGGAAGAACAGGTGCTTCCCTTCTCAAATAAATGTTGGTCTCTTTAGAAAATACTCTGTAAGAAAGACTTCAGGATATTTGTGCATGCTGTCACCCATGATTTCAAGAAGTAGGGGCTGGGCACTGTGGTTCACACTGAGGCGGGAGGACTGCTTGAGACAGGAATTCAAGACCAGCCTGGTTAACACGGCGAGATCCCATCTCTACAAAATGTTTATAGTTTTAAATTAGCCAGGTGCAGTGTGGTGATGCACGCCTGTAGTCCCAGCTTCCTGGGAGGCTCAGGTGGGAAGATCTCTTGAGCCCAGGAGGTTGAGGTGCCAGTGAGCTGTGTTTACACCACTGCACTCCAGCCTGAGTGACAGAGTGAGATACTGTGTCGAAAAAAAAAAAAAAAAGAAAAGAAAAGAAAAGAAAAAAAGGAGAAATGGGGAGTAGAGACAGCTTCAATTAGAAAGAGAAATGCTGTGTATGTGGAGAGAGGCTGAGGTGGAAAGTTTCCCTGAAGACCCAAAACTGCCGCAGAGTAGGGTGAGTGGGTATATGTTAGAAGGACAGGGAGAAGGGCTTTACAGGCAGTGGAGTGTTCTCTGCAAAGGCACAGGTGTGGGAGGGCATGGTGTGTTCTGGCAACTGCTCAGGATTCAGTGTCAACGGTAGGCAGATGTCAGCTCATGAAGTGCCTTTTATGCCATCCAAAGGACTCTAGGTTTGAAGACATAAACTAAACGGGGAGGCTGAAGCATTCTGAGCATGGGAAAGTAGGAAATCTTTGTTGAATGCATGTGTGACAGTGGGAAGACGGGACATGGTAATTAGGAGTACAGTCATGTGTCATTAAAGACTGGGATATGTTCTGAGAAATGCGTCATTAGCCAACTTCATCGTTGTATAAACATTGAGTGTATTTACAGAAACCTAGATGGTATAGTCAACTACACATCTAGGCTATATGGTAGAGCATAGTGCTCCTAGGCTAGAAAACTGCATGTTACTGTACTGAATGCTATAGGTGATTGTAACACAATGGTAAGTATTTGTGTATCTAAACATGAAAAAGGTAAAATAAAAATATGATAAAATAACCTTACGGGGCCACTGTAGTATGTGCAGTCTGTTTTTGACTGGAACGTTATTAAGCAGCACATGACTATATGTCCTAAGCTTATGGCCTTCTATAAGTGTTACTTAGTCTTTCTACATCTGTTCCTTTTTTTCTTTCTTTTTTTTTTTTTTTTTTTTGTGAAATGAGAATTTAAAAAAATCAACTTGAAAGTGTTGGCCAGGCTCTGTGGCTCACACCTGTAATCCCAGCACTTTGGGAGGAAGAGGCAGGAGGATTGCTTGAGCCAAGGAGAGCAGAAGTTCAAGACCAGCCTGGGCAACACGGGGATACCACATCTCTATGAAAAGAAAAAGAAAAAGTAGCAGGTCATAGTAGTGTGAGCTTGCAGTCCCAGCTACTTGAGAGGCTGAGGTGGGAGCATCACTTGACTAGAAGGTAGGTTACAGTGAGATGTTATAGCGCCACTGTACTCCAGCCTGGGTGACAGAGCAAGACTCCATCTCAAAAAAAAAAAAAAAAAAAAAAAAATATATATATATATATATATATATATATATATATATATAACCCATAAAGTGTTGTTGAAATTTAAAATATTATATATAATAGATAGACAGGAGTAATACAGGCACTTAATAAAAGCTGAATATTTTTTAAAAGGTGACATTTGTTTTACACAATACACATTACCTAAACAAACAATCATTAATCTGTGAGCTGCTTCTATGCTTCTTTCCTTATCTGCAAAGTGGTTCTCCAATTTTACCCTTTCATAGTACCCTGTCCTCCTTCCCAGCACTTACCATAATGTTAATTAATGTTCTAATTCTTTTCTAGCCAAACCCTTAGACTTTAACTGTTTTCCCAGGCAAACTCCTGGCTCTGTGAGACCAGTCGCTTAAAAATGTAGTACTTATCTGCACTCTCTAACACCACCCGTCTCTTAACCCATGTTCAATAAATGTTGGTGAAAAAAATCAAAGTCACACTTATCTTGAGGAGAATTTAGAGGGGCCAATGAACTGGCAAAGTGTTTCATTATGACAGGAGAAAAATAGAGCAGTCTACGCTATATTAAAAGTATGCAACAATTTATTTTATTTTAATCTTTTTTACATTCCTGGTAACTCACAGAACAAAACAATTTATTTGTATTTGTATTTACTAATTTAAGAAATAGAGATGGGGTCTCACTATGTTGCCCAGGCTGGTCTTGAACTCCTGGACTCAAGTGATCCTCCCACCTCACCCTCCCAAAGTGCTGGGATTACAGCCATGAGCCACCGTGCCCAGTCCCCCATTTTTTTTTAATTAAAGTTATGGGGTCTCTTATCCAGGCTGGAGTGCAGTGGTGTAATCACAGCTCACAGTGACCTTGAACTTCCAGGCTCAAGCAATCCTCCCGCCCCAGCCTCCTGAGTAACTAGAGCTACAGGCGTGCCCCATCACACCTAGCTAATATTTAAAATTTGAATTATTTAAAAATTTTAATTTTTATTTAATTTTTATAAAAAGATTTTATAAAAAGGAGATTTATTCTTTATCTTATTTTTTGAGACAGGATCTCAGTCTGTCACCCAGGATGGAGCACGGTTGCATGATGCATCACCGTGCCTGGCTAATTTTTAAAATTTTTTAAGAGATAGCCTGTTGGTATATTACCGAGGCTGGTTTCGAATTCTTGGCCTTAAGAGATCCTTCCCCCTTAGGCTCCCAAAATGCTGAGATTACGAGTGTGAGCAACCCCACCAGCCCGGCCAGGCATTCAAAATTTATCAGACCCAGAGAGACCTGAGTATGAGATGTCAGTTAGCACCATCCCCATGTACACTAGCAATTGTTTAAAGGCACTTTGTTCTTTTCTGCCCTGTACAAGCATCACCCTTTATCTTCGTGTTCCCAGAATCCGTGATAGAAAGAACAAGTATAGCCAATGGATAGGTTGTTATTTTAATGTAAATTCTTGGAATACAATTTAGCAAGGGCCTCTTCTTTTTTTTTCCTTTAAAAATTCACTTGTAGCCGGGTGCAGTCGCCCACACCTGTAATCCCAGTACTTTGGGAGGCAGAGATGGAAGGATCAATTCCTTTGAGACAAGAGTTCAAGCTTCCTGGCCAACAAAACAAAGAACTCACTTGAAACTGCTGCTAAGATCATGTATTAAATTAAGGGTAACTTGAAGTGATGCTCCCAGTTTGCATTCTTGAGACTTGGCCCAAATAAATTCTCTATTTATATTAACTTTGCCTCCGTTTTTCCTTTAGGTTGACAGTTATTTCTAAAGTTGTACAGAAGGGTTTACCTTGAGTATTAAAATAAGGTGTGAGAAAGGCAACTGAAGCCAGAGGCTCCCATCACAGCCTTGTGGCCTTCGGAGGCTTCCAAAGGATCAGCATTAACTGCAATATTTAGGAGGAGTGCAGCTCTTCAAGATTCATAAAGTGTTAAATCTGTTGCCTGGAATTCCAGAAAGAGGGGGAGGAAGAGCACAGTGTGAACTGTGTTCAACTTCAACCTAAAGGTAAAAGCGATCAGCCTAAGATCAGGAGCGCAAGGGAGAAGCTTGAAGCCATGCGTTCTCACGGAGGCGTTTCCCGCTCCAGGGCTGCCCAGGCCCGCGGGCCAAGCAGCTAGCCGTGCGGGCCGTCGTCACGCCCGCGATCAGATCAGCTCCCCGCCACGTGGCACTGGGAAGGCGTCCACCAAGCTCCAGGGAGAAGGAGGCGGAGCCCGGCCTCAATCTCACCCGTGTCCTCATGGGAGTTGTAGTTTTCCTTGCGGGCGTAGAGGGCACGAACTCCCGGCTTTTGCCCGATAAATAGCATCTCTTTTGTACGAGTCATTCAAATAATAGACGCAATCTAGGTAACTTCAAGAGAAGATGGGAAGGGGAAGGGGCAAAGCATGGAAGGCAAATCTAAAGATTATGGGCGGGGCAGAGAAAGGTTCGCACTTAGTACGCATGCGCATACCAGGCGCGACAGGTGGGCGGACACAGAAGGCGACGCCTAGGGCTGTGTTGTCCCGGAAGTGCCTTCTCTCCTCCCGGGTCTGCGCGGACGCGGCCTCCTTACCTCATTTGTCCTCGCCCCTCCCCGTCCCTCTACGCGTTTTGGTCCCTGTTTGGTGCTTTCTGTTTGCAGCTACGGCAGTGAGTATGTATGTGACGGACCCCGAGTCACCCGCGGCCTGGGACCCCTGCCTACCCTCCGTCTCGCCAGCCGAGCTGTGGAACTAGCGCGTGCCCCCTCGCCGACCTCGGCGTCTCCGGTCCGCCCCTCACTTGTGGTGGGGCGCAGCTCCTGGTCCCTCAGCTGCGCGCCGCCCCACGCGGCCGGGCTGCGGGTCTAGGGGGTCCGCATCTCCCTGGCTTTCCAAGGGCTAAGGTCGTGATTCTAGGGCGGCTGGGCGTCCAGGGCCTCGGTGGGGGTGGCGTGTCTGCCCTTTTTATCTCCCCGCAAGGCCCCCAGTCTTCTAGGGAAGCCAGTCAGTGAAGCGCGGAGGTCCGGGCGCGCCGAGAGAGAGTCCAGTCTTTGAGGACCGAGTAGTCCTGGGCCACCTCCCGCCTCTGCTGTCAGAAGCAGCAGCTGCCGCCGTGGAATCCAAAATTTCGGGAGCTGTGACCCTTTCCTCATGTAAAACGAGTAGTCTTGGACGGTGAGCGGACAGTTGCCTTCAACTTTTGGGAAGAGCTGCCGGTTCGGTGGAAAAGCTGTGGCTGGGAATCAGGAGGCCTGGGTTCTAGCCGTGGCTCCCCCACGGACTCGCTGGCGATTCCAGAAAGCTCTTATTGAGGCTGAATTTAAGATTATATCAGATTACACAGTTGAATTAGGGGCTCCATTAGTAGGGCCCTTTTAGCTCAGTGAATAAGTTTCTCCAACTATAAAACGAGAGCGTTCAATTTGATGACTTTTCAGGTCCCCTCAGAAGCTCTTGACTTTGTGGTTTTCTTTTTCTTTTAAAAAATTTTTTCTAGGACCGTTAGAGAAATGACTTCGTGTTTGAATAGTTAGGCTGTCGCATACAAAGACTTTTAAATGGATTGTGTGTATACTTAGGAAGGCATTATGCTTTCAAGAGAATCTGAGGATGGGGAATAAAGTCAGGAAGGATCGCAAGTGAGGATTATATTAATATGATAATTAGCACGGTAAGAGACTGCATGACCGAAGGAAAAGGGCTAAGGGAAAGGTGAAGGAAATGTTTCCGGATAGGATTAGTTCTCATAAAAATCATATATATATCCCAAGAAGAGCTGGGACTTATGTGACTAAATTTAGCTTATTTTTTTTCCCCCACTGAAATACTGTGCTCTGCCTCTGTTTTGTGACCTTTGTTTTACACATTTGGTTTCTCCACTCCAATCTCAGATTTGATTCAGAGTGGCCGTGGCATTTGAAAAATGGACATTTTAACCCCTTAGTCAATTGTGTTTCACCTGTCACTATCAGGATAGCTCATTAATAGTAAGAAAGAAATTTTACGTTGAAAGTAAAGTGTGTTCAGCATATTGCAGTGAAATTTGGACTGAAAATGAGGCTGTGGATTTGATTTAAATCGGCCCGAGATAGATTCCTATGTCGTCAAGAAGGAACATCTAGGGAGGCTAAAGGTGCTTTGGAAGTAAATAAGAGCAAAAGGTCAGAATGACCAGTAGGTAGGCTGTGAGACCAGAAAGATTGATTAAAGACCGGGCGCGGTGGCTGACGCCTGTAAATCTCAGCACTTTGGGAGGCCGAGGCGGGCGGATCACCTGAGGTCAGGAGTTCGAGACCATCCTGACCAAAATGGAGAAACCCCGTCTCTACTAAATATACAAAAATTAGCCGGCGTGGTGGCGCATGCCTGTACTCCCAGTTACTCGGGAGGCTGAAGCCGGAGAATTGCTTGAACCCGGGAGGCAGAGGTTGCGGTGAGCCGAGATCGCGCCATTGCACTGCAGCCTGGGCAACAAGAGCGAAACTCCATCTCAAAAAACATAAAGTAAATTCTGAAAGCTTAAATAAGCCTTAAGTTGTCTAGTTTAAAACAATTCAGTCAATGAATACTACTCCCTCTTTTGAATGGGAAGAGCCTTTGCAGTTATTCTATAGCTGTTTTATATTTGTTAAGCTATTTTGATTCTTAGATAAGTTTCATTTCCATTTCCATGATATTTTAGGATCTTATATAAGAAATATCTTTTCTGGTCACGGGATTGATAAAGTCTTTGAGTACTAACTTGGGAGATTCTTGGATGATAAACTGACAAATGTGTGTTTTTCTTCCAACGAAAATGTCTCATTCATAGTTGTTAAACTCTGCTGGGAGGTAAAATGGATATTTGTGAGGTAAACTTAGGTGTTAGAACCAATGCAAATACTTCAATGAAGGAAGGTGTTTTTTTACTTTGAAATTACTTATTTGGAAATTTTATTTAAAAATTTTAGTGGACAGTTGGCTGAGAATCACAGAAACGTGAATCACTTCTAGCTGTGTTCTTAACCAGCTGCATAACCTTGGATAGGCCTCCTATCTCTTTGTACTTCAGTTTCCTGTGGGTAGATTGAGTAGTCTGTATGAGATAATCTGATTTTGTTATCTAGTTAGTATACTTGGGAGTCAACGTACAGGGATCAAAAAGCTGAGAAAGCCTTCTGAGTCAAGGGTTTGTTTGTGTGTATGTAAAAAAACATATATATTGTCCTCTGAGAATACTCTTTTTTAAAAAAGTTATTAAATTCATTTGAATGTAATTAAAGCGGTAACATAAACCACAACAGCCTCAGGCAGACTTTAACCCTGGCATACATAAGCTACCTAAATAAGAGAGCAGGTTATGCCCAGCACAATTTTCAAGTACAGACGGTACAAAATCCTCTTAAAGGCCATAGGGGCTAAATTGTTAAATTCATTTTTCTACATTTTAGAGAAAGAGATAAATCCTTCGACCCAGGGAAGTCAGTTTTTATTATGGTTCTGTAGTTTATTTTTGGCATACATTCACAGGTGTGCCTATGGCTCTATTCTTAATCCCTTTCCTTTGGGATGGCTGCAAGAGTAGTACAAATTTGTAACTGTAATTTAGCTCTTTAATTTTTTTCTGTGCTGCACTGGAATTATGTTTTATCTTAAGTCCACACTGGATCCTCAGGATGGATCCAGTGAGGATTTTGAAAGAAGCATAATTCCTTTGACTTCTTTTAGAATTAATTTACCTATTAAATAAAAAGGAAAGGATTCATCTTTTATTTGAATTCCTCTGAGGCTAACAATTCAATATAAACTGATGAATGCTATGAGCATTATTCAGACAATCACATTCAATTTGTGTGACAATAACAGCATAGCCACCTGAAGGACAGTACAACAAGGGCACAGGTATATGATACCTTTTAGAAGAAAAGCATTAACAGGTGGGTTTATTTATTTCTGGAAAACAAAAAACTCCAGCAAGAATGTAGTACATTTTTGGCTCTTGTCCATTTGGTTCTTGGGATTAAGCTGGTTCTATTACCAGAACTAGCATCACAACACCCTGACATTTTGGGCAGAAATTTGAGTGGCTAAGAAAACAACTATTTTTAACTTTATGTGTATAGCTACAAGTGGAAAAAAGAATAAATTGGCATTGTTATTGCTGTCTGGGCTGTCCTTGATTTTTGGACACAAGCTTATTTTTCCAGAGCTCTCATTTTAGTCAGTAGTCCATCAGTACCTAATGGAAACATCTACTGTGTAGATATGAGAATTTCTAAGACTTTGGAGTAGTTGAAAGACAGCAGAGAAATTTATCCTATCATAATTTCTGTATTTTAAGCACATACTAGATTTATCAGGGCTGAAGGACAAATGGCCTGGTGTTATAATTCATTTATAAATTCAACAGATACTTATAGATGGCCCCCAAAATACCAGTTACCCTGCTTGGCTTTGGTGATTCATTGTTTAGCAGAGTGTATATAGTTCCTGCCCCTCCTGTGGTTTGTGATCTGTGCTTCTGGGAGATTTACATTGAATAAATAATTAGAAATGTGATGAGTGTTTTGAAATGTAAAGTGCTATGAAAGCCTATAAAAGGGGCATTTAATTTAATCTGGTGGGAAGTGATTTTGAGCCAAGTTTAAAAGATGAAGGCTGAGAAGGATTTAATATGCTCACAGTACTAAGTGTTTCACTTTATGCATTTATTCCCAAAGTTGGGAGTTTTCTCTCAATTTTAGGTCTTTATTACGTTTGTATTTTATACACAGTTTTATAACAAGCACAGGAATAAACAGGTTTATCAGGGTTTTTTTGGTTTTTTTTTGGAATTGGGGTTTTGTTCTGTCACCCAGGCTGGAGTGTAGTGGCGTGATCATAGCTCACTGTCAACTTTGAACACTTGGGCTCAAGCTATCCTCCCTCAGCCTCCCAAGGTGGGAGGTACAGGTGAGTACTCCATCCACCTCTGACCTTGGCCCTGTGCTCTCATTCAACCAATTCTGTTGGTACTGCCTCTTACTACAAGATTTGCTTACCCGGGAGTTAGATAGCAAGCATGGGAAATGCCTGGCACACAGAATATATGGAATTAGTGTTAGGATTTTAGTAACTTCACAGTCGGAAAGAGGAAAATAGGAAGAGCTGTTCGTATAGGGTAGACTATAGGAGAGAATGCAAATTTTGAAAGCTACATCATCAAGGATTAAAATTTTGCTGCTAGCTTTGTCTCTATAATAATGTGGTCATCTAGTCTTAATGCTTATTCCTTCAAAAAGTTCATTCTTTTCATTTTTCTCCCTTTGTGCCTAATGCTCAATCTCTTGCACTAGTTTCGGAAGTGGTCTTCTTTTATGTCTGCCCTATATGCTGTTGTTAAAACTGGTATTGAAATGCACTTTTATTCATGGTACTTTATTGCTCCAAAATTTGTAATGGCATCCTGCTTCCCCAGGAAACTATGACACTGAATGTAGATCATACTTGGAGCCCCTGGGATTGGCAAATTTTTTTTTTTTAAGAAGCCAGATAGAAAATATTTTAGGTTTCCAAGCCATATGATATCTTAACTACTCAACTCTGCCCTTGTGGGAAAGCAGCCTTAGATAATACCTGTAGAAATCAGGGTGGCTATTGTCAATAAAACCTTACTTACAAAAACAGGTGGCTGGCTCAGACTGTAGTTTGCTAACCCTGAGAACTTGACAGCAAAAAGAAGAGATAAATAGTAGTTAAAACATAAAGCAGAATCAAATAAATTTTTTTTCCATATAGGTGAGATCTGATAATGTTTTTAGGTAGAAAGGAAGAAACTTGTGAAGCAGGAGAGACTAAACCTGTTTGATGTTTTTGGTTGGGGGCCAGGTTAGAGATAGGATCGGGTGTATGTGTTGTTGAATTATTCCTAAAAGGGAAGAGAGACACCAGTAATTGCAAAATCATCAAGTATTTATAGAGGTAGAGGAGAAAGAATAAATTCAGATGTGTTGAGATAGATGAGAGTACCTATGAGGATTTGTTTGATTTGGGAAAATGAAAGCAGAAGTAGGAGAAGCAGAAGTAGGAGAAATTCAGATGTGTTGAGATAGATGAGAGTACCTATGAGGATTTGTTTGATTTGGGAAAATGAAAGCAGAAGTAGGAGAGGGCAGAGGATAATTGGAAGCTTAGAATGGGGAAAGGATGTCTGTGCTGTGGGGAATACTTTCAGGCAGTTGTTACCAGTATTTTGAAGATGACAACTTGTTTAACCTCGAAACAATTTGTGGACCACCCCATGATTGTAGTTACATTTTTAGTATTCATCAATGGAGAATATGCATATTAGAAAAAAGCTACTACTCAGTTCTCTCTTAGATGACTTTGTATTTTATTAACCACAACATGGACTGCACATTTGAAAAATGTTAATACATGTATGTGAGAAATTGTCTTTATGTAATGCAATGCCCTGGGTACCCACTGAGATAACTAATTTAACAGCTTCCCAGGAGGCTGAAAGCTCATAAGTTAGAAATCATTGCGTTCTAATGAATCAACAATAAGAGAATAAAGGATTGCTTAGAAGTAGTATTCTGTCAAAATTAAAATGAACTTATAATGAACTCACTTTGAAGGATTCCATAACTTTTTATTCAGTAGTACTTGGCAGTTTTGAGCAAGATGACAGAAACAAAATGATCTAGGGTTAGGCATAACATTGTATAGAAGGCCAGAATAAACATTTAGCTTATTCTTTCTCTAAATTACCTTTTCCTGAGATCACACCCAGTTTCATTAATCACTTCTGTATTTATGGTGATCAAATTGGCATCTCATTTTCTTAACCGTTTTGTTGATTTCATGTTCCCCATTTACACCTTACTGAATATTTCCATTTGGGTATCTTACTGTTTCACATTTAACCTACTGAAAAGAAAGCTTCTTATCTTTCCTTTGAAACGAGCTCTCTGCTGATTTCTACTTGGAGTAGAGAATATACAGAGATGCTGAAGTTGATGGGAAAATGTGGATAGGTTGGGAAAAACATGAATTAGGTGTGGGATTCATTGAAGAAATTGAACAGCATCATGACTGGTAAATGATGGTGATGAGAAAGTAGAGAAAACCTACTGTTTGCTCTTACCATTTGTTTTTTAAATTTTAGCCAAATCAAGTTCTTGACTCATACACTCTTACAAATATTCAAATATATGTTCTCTATTTTGTTTCCTTAATCCAATAATGTTGTAATCCTTTTCCAATTAATAAGCAATATGTTCAATACCGATGCCCATTTAAGTGTGCTGTTACTCTCTAATCATTATTATTCCTTTCATAAATAGATCTGGGCATAGGAACCAATCAGAAACAATCGCTTCAGCAATCAAGACCATTGTTCATCATGGAGGAACCCATGGATACCTCTGAGCCTCTATCTGCATTACCATTCACTGGGCAGCAGTCTTTTGAGCCAAGTGGCAAATTTGGACAGTATCCATCGATGCAGATGAACCACATCCAGGCACTGGGGAAGTGGAGGACATAGAACAGCTCAATCAGTGTTTGATCCAACACTTCCATCTCATTAAGACAAGTTTGATTTTTCTTTGCTTTTTATTTCATGGAATACATGAGAATCTCTTAACTGTTGGAGTTTCCAAGGAGGCATACCTCATGACTTCAGTTAATGGAAAGAACAAAACTAAAATGCTGTATGGCCAAAGCCACAAAGGGAAGGATCCACAATTTACATTCTTGGAGCTATCATCTGTACTGTACTGTTGTGATCTACTGATTGGCATTGGCATAGTAGTAGGGGTCAAGTGACAGAATCCGTGCCAGCAGTCTCCAGGTTCAGAAGCAATTCAAGACCCTGATGATAGCTCTCCAGCAACCAACACATGGTGATTGTGCCAACTTGTTGCTCAGTTATAATGCAGGGCCAGTGATTGGTTTAAGTGAAGACCATGGTTGAGATCATTTGTCTTTGGTCTAATAGAATTTGAGTCTAGTAGAATTTGAGTCTCCAGGGAAAGAGCTACTTGACCAAATTAAACTAGTAGCAGGTAGAGCATGAATGACAGCATATTATACCATCAAGATGTTCTTAGAGCAGTGTATGGATGGATCGATTGTACTGCCATCAGTTGTGACTGACGTTGTATTCAAGGAGAAAGAGAAACTTGTTTAGAAAGCACTTTGAAAGTTTTTTGAGTACGGGGGTGCCCTGTATCACCCCGTTATGGTTGAACTTTCTCCTTCAAAATTACCAGACTTGGCAGCAGTGGCAAATTATTGGGCTAAAAGACTTAATCAGACATATTCTGGGTTCAAGGCTCCTAATATAATACCTGGTGCAAACATTATACTTCCACTCATTCAGATGGTTGCATCCTGCCAGGCATCCAGTGGGACTGGGAATATGGACACTTGAACATTAAACATCCTGAAGAATTTTGGAATGACAGGTTACAAGTGAACATAATCAGTTCTCTATATTAAAAAAAAAAAAAGATTTGGGCATAGATTGGGCTCACATAATCTTTAGAGAGATTTTTTCATTTTTGTGAAAGTACAGAAATTCTTAACTGCTTATGAAATGCTGATTGTTAAACAGCATCCACAGCTATTTTGTGTTGTTTCCCTGACCCCACCCTGAAGAAAAGAAAAATTATGGCATATTGAAAACAGCAGTATGATGTAAGAGAAAAGATCACAAATTCCTTGAGGGTGGGTCTTTTCCATACTCATAAGCCTATTTATAATATTCAGAGTAATTTATTGACACATATTAATATTCCCTCCTATCCCATTAATTGCCAAATCATCAAACATTTATTGAGCACCTACTCTGTGTAGGGTGTAAGCAGTACTGGGGACTTACAGTGATAAAAGACATAGTTTTAGCCTTAAGTGATGTACTGTTTCACTGAAGAGATGGAATATAAGAAGCCAAGTAATTTATGGAATTCTCTTCTTTGTTTTTCTTTTTTTTTTTTGGCAGTGGAGTCTTGCTCTTTAAATAGAGCAAGGCTAGTCTGGAACTCCTGGGCTCATGTGGTCCTCCCGCCTTAGCTTTCAGTGTAGCTGGGACTACAGGTGTGAACACAGCTTGGAAATCTCTTAACCATGGGAGTTAAGTCTCAAAATTCTGGTGATACAAGTGGTTGAAACTTAAAACTGTATTTAAAAAATAGGATTCGTGAATTTGAGATAGTTCATAAGTCTGCAAAAGGCTGTATAAATACATATTTTACATTTACTATTATTAATTTTGTAGTAAATTTGAGTACAGCACTCTCTTTATCTGTGGAAACTTCAGACTCTCCCCTATTACTTTAATTTCAGTGAGACATTATTAAATATAAGTGGGCTTACACATTTGTTTTGCTTTACTGACAAATAATACACAACTTGGAGGCTTTTTTTTCCTTTCTATTCTTCCTCTAAATGTTCAACACTTTTCTGATTTTGTGATTTGAGGTTGTTTAATAGCTTCCTGAGGCTCCATTGAGACCGTATATACGTGACACTTAACAGTCTAGCCTTCCTCGGTACATATAGATATATGATGGTGGCTTTGCCTGTAGTAAATTCATGCCAAAACATAGGCTTTCAGTGCCTATTACATATGGCTTTCAGCTCTCTCTACTGAGGGATGTAGGAGTTTATTTCTGAGGTCTGAGCCTCTTTTCCTTTACTTCCTTTACTCTTTCCTAAGCCTTCTTTATAAAAACTATGCATGTTCTATTGTTTTCCTTTTTGATTCCCTTTCTTTTATTATCCCCAGTAGGAGTGACTTGTAATTCTCATATGTTAGAAAGGCAGATCTCCTGGTTGAAGAAAAGATCCACCCAAGCAAGTCAGCATGTTTAATAATTTTTGAGGGGGATCTCAAATGTGGGAAGGATTGTTATATAAGACAACCAAATGATGACATGAGACAATAAATGCTATAGGAATTATGGAGGAATAATTAGCTATTTATTTTCTTGGTTAGGGAAGAGATATTATTAGTTGTAGAAGTAATTACTAACTTCTACATTTTTTATTGTGGAAATCAAAAATATATATATGAAAATAAAATGTTATAATTGACTTCAGTGTCCCATAAACCAGCTTCAACAATTACCAAATTGTGACCAATCTTTACACACATGCACAGGTGTCCCTCAGTATCTGTGGGGCATTGGTTCTAGGACCACTTATGGATACCAACATCTATGGATGCTCAAGTCCCTGATATAAAATGGTGGACTATTTGCATATAACCTGTGTACATCCCGTATTATTTAAATCATCCCTAGATCACTTATAATACGTAATACAATGTAAATGCCATGTAAATAACTGTTATACTGTATTAAGGAATAACAACAAGAAAAATGTACATGTTCAGTACAGACGCAATTTTTTTTGTGTGTGGAATATTTTCATTCCAAGGTCAGTTGAACCCATGGACATAGGAGGCTGACTGTGTGTGTGTGTGTGTGTGTGTGTGTGTGTGTGTGCATACAGACACACATATTTCTGAAATGTAAATATTCTCTTCTTAAAAAAATTATTATCACAGCTAAACAAATTACCAGTAATTCTTTTATCCTCATATACCCGGTGTTCAGATTTTCTAGATTGGCTCCTAATTTTTTTACAGATTATTTGAATCTGATTCAATTCATGTACTGTAATGTTTGATAACTTAAGTACCCTTTATAGGTTCTCTTTTACCTCTTCTTTATTAAATTCCTTGTAATTTGTTGTACTAAATAGATTGTCTTCTAGAATTTCCTGTAGTCTGAATTATGTAGTATTGTTTCACATGTTCCAGTGTCCTCTTATTTCCTGTGAGTTGGTAGTTAGATCTAGAAGCTTGATTAAATTCAGATTTTCTCTCTTTAGATCATCAACTTTAGATCATCAACTTGGATCATTTGTTTCATTTTGCTTTTGATATGTTGTTTTTTAGAATTACCTCTTAAAATTTTGATTTAATTTTATAATCATGTAAAATGTTTATAAATTTCCAAATTCAGATCAGCAAAACACAATAAAATCTATTCAGAGAAGGCAAACCTTCTGTCCAGTCTCCATCCTGTTCCTGCTCTTCCCCTTATGGGTAACCATTAAGAGAAAATTGGTGGTTGGTCCTTACATTTAAAAATATATATAATCAAAAAACTGTATATCTTTGTACCCTCTTTCTTAAATTTATTTTATTTATTTATTTATTTATTTATTTATTTATTTATTTATTTTAGACAGAGTTTCGCTCTTATTGCCCAGGCTGGAGTGCAGTGGCGCAACCTTGGCTCACTGCAACCTCTAACTCCCAGGTTCAAGCAATTCTCCTGCCTCAGCCTCCCGAGTAGCTGGGATTACAGGTGCTCGTCACCACGCCTGGCTAATTTTTTGTATTTTTAGTAGAGATAGGGTTTCACCATGTTGGCCAGGCTGGTCTCGAACTCCCGACCTCAGGTGATCCGCGTGCCTCGGCCTCCCAAAGTGCTGGGATTACAGGCATGAGCCACTGTGCCCAGCTTCCCTCTTTCTTAATAAGTTGTGGAATACTATGTGCTCTTTTAAAATGATTGATGAATAGTAGTATACTTGTGACAATCTTTTTTTTTTTGAGACAGAGTCTTGCTCTGTCGCCCAGGCTGGAGTGCAGTGGTGCAATCTGGGCTCACTGCAATCTCCGCCTCCCAAGTTCAAGCAATTCTCCTGCCTCAGCCTTCTGAGTAGCTGGGATTACAGGCATGCGCCACCATGCTCAGCTAATTTTTGTATTTTTAGTAGAGACGGGGTTTCACCATGTTGGTCAGGCTGGTCTCAAACTCCTGACCTTGTGATCCGCCCGCCTCGGCCTCCCAAAGTGCTGGGATTACAGGCGTGAGCCACTGCGCCCGGCCCACTTCTGACAGTCTTAAAATGTATTTTAAACAAATAAAAAAGTCTAATTCCACTTTCAGAAGCATGCTTTGTTCTTGTTCCTGGTCATAATGTTTCTTTCTCATTTAATAATTTTGAAGATTTAGGTTTAGCAAAAAATTATTAGGCTCAGGACTTTTTTTTTTTTTTTTTTTTTGAGATGGGGTCTCGCTCTGTTGCCCAGGCTGGATGGCAGTGGCATGATCTCGGCTCACTGCAACCTCTGTCTCCTGAGTTCAAGCAATTCTCCTGCCTCAGCCTCCCAAATAGCTAGGATTACAGACATGCATCACCACCCCCAGCTAATTTTTGTATTTTTAGTAGTTTTTAGTAGAGTCGGTTTTCACCATGTTGGCCAGGCTGGGCTCGAACTCCCAACCTCAAGCAGTCCTCCCGTCTTAGCCTCCCAAAGTGCTGGGATTACAGGCGTGAGCCACCGTGCCTGGCTAGGTTCAGGATTTTAAAAGAATATTTGTTTTGAAAATGGAAGAATACAACATTTTTAAGAGTTGAAGATGGCATATTCCTAGTTTGTGAGTCTTGTGGTATGTTATCGTAGAGCTCCTTCAATATGTATAATTTGGAACACAGCCCCTTTAGTTTGTCAGCATTTGGCACATACGGGATACCTAACAGATCGTAGGTAAATTTAATTAGAATTCTGTTTTTGTGTATAGAGTACAGCTCTTTACATAGTATGATTTGAAGTGAAATAATGGCTTAAGGTAAGTGGCTTTTGAAATTGAAATGAAATTATGGCTTCAACAACTTAGGGCAGTAAGTCTTCTAACTGTTTTATGTCAAATCCTTTTTCTCCCAAAAACATGTACATAACAGTTTTAGATACAATTTAACAGGATGGAGAACTCATCTAGAGGCAGTTGCTGAATTCCTGACGTTTATTAGGCACTCAACCAAGACTTGATAACTAATTAAAATTTGAGTAGAGTGGGTTACCTATTTGAATTTTAGGTTTTCAAATATATATTTTATTTGATCTGGGTCTTCACATATGCAGGTTTTTTCCCCCTGTGTGAGTTAATTTCCAACTTGCCTGGCTGACACCTACTTATCTCTCAAATATCGGTTTAAAAGGTCACTTCTGAATGAGGTGTAATGGTCATAGGTTCTCAATTAGTGGTTGTTGTTGGGTCTGTTAGAATTCTGCAGTAGTTAGCTTTGATTTTGGGTAACTTAATTACTTTATTGGTAAAAAATACATTTTTTTCCATTAAAGTTATAAAGCTAAAATGAGAGAATGAGTAGACTTAACATAATAGGCAAATATTTTGATAAAAGTCTTCATAACTACATGATAAGTTCATGATCATTGTGGCAAACATGGGCTTATACCTTCCACTATGGTTTTTTCTGTTTTTGGTTTGTTTGTTTGTTGTTTTTCTTTTGAGACGAGGTCTCTCACTCTGTTGCCCAGGCTGGAGAGCAATGGTGTGATCATGGTTCACTGCAGCTTTGACCCCAGGCGGAAGCAATCCTCTCAAATAGCTGGAACTATAGACATGTGCCACCATACCCAGTTAATTTTTGTATTTTTTGTAGAGATAGGATTTTGCCTTTAGGATATTGCTACAACCACCACTGTGAAACCACAGGCCCATATGCTAAAACAGCCCTGGGAGACAGTTGACTCCTCCCCTTCTCCCATTTTGCAGATGGAGACACTAAGGCCCAGAGAAGGAAATAGAATTGCCAAAGGTTCTACAGTGAGTTCATGGGAGGGGCAAGACTAATGAGAAAAGGGACATCTCTTGGACATCACTGGGCACTGTGCTTTGCATACATGATCATATTCCATCCTCAAAACAAACCTGTGCAGCAGGTTTTGTTAGTACTCCGGTTTCACAGATGAAGCCTCAACTCTGAGGCTCAGACACTGGGAAGTTGCCCAGGATCACACAGTTAGGAGATGGCAGAGCTGGAATTTGAAAGCCAGTCTGATTTTCCACACAAATCGTTTGACCACTAACACTTTCGGGTTGCCTAAAACCCAGGCCCCGTCTCCCCACTCCCCTAAGTCCACTCTATCCCTGTAGTCCTCCATTATGTTACATTGACTCCTAAAGAAAAAAGATCCAGATGGTCACAGCTTTGGAGGATTTGCAAAGCACTTCTGTGCCTTCCTGCACATCATCTCAGGAGATCCTGATACCAGACCGAGCTTGTAGCCTGGCCAGAAATAGCATGCTCATTTCACAAAGCAAGAACTGTTGGGTTTCCTTCAATCTAATGATTTCACCACCATCTGTGCGATAGCTGAGCAAAGTCAACAGGTTGATAAACTCCTGTGGTAGGAATGGGGACCCATGACCTGCCAATAGGGAAGAACAGACATACGGAACTTGGCCAGGGAAACTTAATCCAGAAGAAAAAAGTGTATTTTCTCTCCTTATATGTTTTAAATAGAATAATGAGAATCCTGGATTTTATTTTATTTTTTTAATTAAAATTAATTAATTTATTTTGAGACGGACTCTAGCTCTATTGCCCAGGCTGGAGTGCAGTGTCCCAGTCTCAGCTCACTGCAACCTCTGCTTCCCGGGTTCAAACGATTTTCCTGCCTCAGCCTCCCAAGTAGCTGGGACTATAGGCGCCCACCAACACGCCTGGCTAAGTTTTGTAATTTTAGTAGAGACGGGGTTTTGCCATGTGGCCAGGCTGAGATAATCCTGATTTTAAAAACTCAACTCTAGTGTTTATATTTTAATTTATTCTCAGAAGGGTAGGAGGGTCTAGAGGAAATGCAAAATGTGAGTCTTATTTTATGATTTGCTATGGTAAGGCACATTTAATCCCGTTCTTCAGTGAAAGGATTTACGAAGGATACAACACAATGTACCTGTCTGTTGCCTTCATTGTATTTTTTCCCAGATTTTTATTTAGTTTGCAATGTTACAACAATAAGGGAAATTAAAAGGAAAGAAAATTATCCATAATCCTACCACCCTAACAAATGAACTGTTCAGTGTTCCTCTTACTTCAGGCAAAATTTACATAGGTGATTTATGAGTGTAGTTACAGCCTCGCATTCATTCGGCTTTCACACCTGACAGTTTATCATTATAATGCCACAGGTTTTCATGATTATCATTTAAAAATAAATGTTTTAATATTTTAATGGCTGCTTAATACTCTTTTAAGTGGATATATCATTCCCTAGTATTATATATTTAGAAGGACTCCCGTTTTTCACTATCACAGATAATCCCAAAGTGCATGTCTTCATACATATCACATTCTCCTATTTTTGCCATTTCTTTAAAATCCCCAGATCTAGATTTTGCTGGGTCAAAGGGCCTGAATGCTTGCATGGCTCTTGATATATATGGGCAAATCGCTTTGCCAAATGATTTTATACATTTACTTTGCCTCTAGTAATGGATGAGGAGGATAGTCTCATACCATGCTCTTGCCACAACCAAGGGAAATCTACCAACAAATGAAATGTAACTTGATAAGCAATGTTTTTACTTCATTTTGACAAATGGCTTGACAAGCCTGTCGCAGGCTCTCTATTCTCTTATCTCTGTTGCTGTCATAAATTAAGTGCCTATACCAAGAATCTGGGAATGAGGCAAAGCAATTATTATACCCATTTTATAGCTGGGGAAACTGAGTCTCAAATCAGGGTTTTTCCCAATAGGCTGGACAGTGAGTAAGTGGAAGTGCTGAGACTTTGGTAATATCATCAACTGTTGTGAACCAAAGATGATGCATTGGTTCCTTATAACCTCCTGGAAGGTCTTCTGGGTTTTGAAGCTAGGAAAGCATGTTCACATCAGGTACATTTGTAACTTTTTTTCAGCAGACCTCATAGGCCTTCCAGCCTCCAATTGCTACTCAAATCATGGGCTTACTTTGGAGGAGACTTTTGATATATTTTGTTTGCCAGAGAATCTGTGACTTTCAGAGCTGGAGGGAACATCAGAGATAATCTCATTCTACTGGGAGAATGGAGATGGAGAAACAGTCCCAAAGAAGAGAAAGGATTTTTCCAGGTTCATTCACGGAGCTGACAGCAGAGTTAGGATCTACATTCTGGTTTAAAATGGTGCCTAGGCCGGGTACCATGACTCACACCTGTAATCCCAGCACTTTGGGAGGCCAAAGCAGGTGGATGTGCTTGAGCTGAAGAGCTGAGACAAGCCTGGGCAAAATGGTGAAACCCTGTCTCTACAAAAACACAAAAATAGCAGGGTGTGATGGTGCATGCCTGTAGTCCCAGTTACTTGGGGGGCTGAGTCAAGAGAATAACTTGAGCCCAGGAGGTTGAGGCTGCCATGAGCCATGTTTGCACCATTGCACTCCAGCCTGGGTGACAGAGACCCTGTCTCAAAAACAAACAAATAAATAAATAATGAAAAAAAACTACTTTAAAAATGTTGCCTAGAGCATATAATTGGGCAACTTGTATATTGTGAGATATTCAAAAATGAGCATTTTTTCTTTTCTTTTTTTTTTTTTTTGAAATGGGGTCTCACTCTGTCGCCCAGGCTGGAGTGCAGTGGCAGTCATGGCTTACTGCAACCTCACCTCCCAGGCTCAAGCGATCCTCCCATCTCAGACTCCTGAGTAGCTGGGACTACAGGAAAATGGCACCAAGTCCAGCTAATGTTTTGCATTTTGGTAGAGATGGGGTTTCACCATGTAGTCCAGGCTGGTCTTGAACTGCTTTCCTAGGCTCTGCTCTCAGCTCCTGAGCTCAAGCAATCCGCCTGCCTTAGCCTCCCAGAGTGCTGGGATTACAGGCGTGAGCCACTGCGCCTGGTCCTTAAGTGAACAGTTTTTAAAAGCAGTGAGAACCATTTGAGAAACACTGGATACCTTATGTTTCTTTTGGAGATCCCTGGTGAAATAGTCTGGGTAACAATATGTTAATGTGAAACAGATTTTTTTAAATTAAAGGATTTGCCATAGTCTGCTACCCAAAATGACAATTTTTTATTATTTAGTTTTAGTGTTTTGTGGGTATTTGGTTGGGCTTGTTTGTTTATTTTTACTTTGAGGAAATATATCCTATTTATTAGATTTTACTTTTAGCATGTGTTGTTTATTTATTTATTTACTTATTTTTTACCTGGTAATCAGTGTCACTGTATACTTGCAGAGGTATGTGTACACTTAACAGTATATCTTGGTGATTGTTCCACACTGGTACTTTAAGGGCTTCCTTGTTGTTCTTCATATATTTTTCCTGCAGTGGGGTATTCTGATCAATATGTATTTGAATCTCTAATTGGAATATAGTCTCTACCCTCAGGGAGCTTATAGTCTCCTGGAAAAATGAGGTGTGTTCATTATGGCTGCTGAAAGAAGGGAGCAGGTGCACTGGGAAGAGATACAAAGTTTGGCTGGAAACAGTGGCTCATGCCTGTAATTTCAACATTTTGAGAAGCAGAGGTGGGTGCATCACTTGAGCTCAGGAGTGTGAAGACCAGCCTGGGCAACATGGTGAATCCTAAAAATACAAAAATTAGCCAGGCGTGGTGGTGCACGTCTGTAATTGCAGCTACTCCAGTGGCTGAAGCATGAGGATCACCTGAACCTGGGAGGCGGAGGTTACAGTGAGCCAAGATCACACCACTGCACTCCAGTGTGGGGCGACAGAGCAAGACTGTCTCAAAAAAAAAAAAAAAAAAAAATGGAGAGAGAGAGATAAAATGTAGTAGGCAAGAAGAGAAAAGAGATCATCTCAGCTGGTTTTGGATATTGGACATGAGCTCAAACCTGAGAACTGAGAAGCTGTCTGCTGCAGGTGAGTCTGGATGATGGACAGTGACAAGCAGTTATTCATGTGTGAATCTGGTCAACATGAACATTTAGATGCTGAACACAAAAGCTTGATTTTTATTAGCTATATTTGTTGCCCATATATTGGAACAGATCTTAAAGTGGAAGTCAGACGTGTATTATCAGATATCATTTGGAGTAATGAGTGTATTTTCCTAATCTTTCCAACACCAACCTAAAAACTCATGTCAAAAGCATGCATACTAATTAATTTGTTTTCCATATAGTAATAAGATTAACAACCTCGCATTTACATGGGGTACTGAGTCATGCTCAAATAAAACAAGTTCTAATGAGAAAAATTGAATGTGGCAGCAAATCATGTCCCACCCAGCAATCCAGGTTTATGTGTGTTTTTCTGTCTTTCCTACACATATTTTTGTCAGGATCTCACTGTAAACAAGATGATTTCTTTCATGTTGCTTAGGTGAATTTGTTTAGTGAACCACAAAGTCACTGTAAATATTGCACAAATCTGAGTGCCTTGCAGTGTGGCTGGGAATCTTTTAACCTGCTTCAAAAAATGAAATGTGTTCACTGAAAGAACCATATTGGGAGAAAACACTCTTAACATATCAAGGCTCTTAGATATGCAGGCTGGCTCAATTCTATACTGGACAATAGAAGAATTTGTGGTGGAATAACGTGACCTTGTACAGTCACTCTACCTCACCTAATCTGGGCCTCAGTTTCTTCCTCTCAACTGGACAGAGTCGGCTAGGTCTGTGATTGTCCTACCTACTAATCATCAGAATCAGCAGAGGGTGGAGGGTGGCAAGTGAGAGCTTTAAAAAATACATGTGGAGGCCGGGCGTGGTGGCTCACCCCTGTAATCCCAGCACTTTGGGAGGCTTGAGGCAGGCGGATCACGAGGTCAGGAGTTTGATACCCTCCTGGCCAACATAGTGAAATCCTGTCTCCACTAAAAATACAAAAATTAGCTGGGTGCAGTGGCACACTGTAATTCCAGCTACTCAGGGGCACAAGAATCGCTTGGGCCCGGGAGGCAGAGGTTGCAGTGAGCCGAGATCACACCACTGCATTCCTGCCTGGGCGACAGCGAGATTCTGTCTCAAAAAAAAAAAAATGCAAACAAAACACATGGCCAACCTGTCCTACTAAATTCCAGTCCTACTAGACCCCAAAACCCCAGTCTCTGAGGGTTGGGGCTCCCAGAGTTTCTATTTTTAAAAATAAATTTCTCATGTGATTTGATGATCAACCAGGTTTGGGACCCTCTGGACTAGACAGATTACCACTAAGATCTTTTCCAGATTTCATGACCATCAAAACTGATTATTCTAAAAACTCATCTTGGAAAATACCGTTGTGTGTCTGGGTGGAAGAACGCTGGTAAGGGAAGTAGGAAGCTGGATTCGAGTCCTAGGGCTCCCCTCAAGCTATCCAGGGGACACTGGAAAAGCCACTTCACTCTGGACCTTAGTATCTTCATCCACAAAGTAAAGGCACTGGAGCAGGCAGTGTCAGGGCCCTTCCTCTCACATTCTGCAGCCTAATTAATTCTGATTCCTTTGAGATTCATTGTTTGCACATAAACCACCCTTAGGTGACTGAATACAGAGACTGGTCAGTGAGACTGGTTGGGTTCATCTGCGGTAGCCTACCCATTCTTCCTGAGGCCCAGGGAGTCTCTTCTGCCTTGCACCTTCGGTGGGTCCCACCCCTCCACCTCTTTCAGAGGGGCTGAGGGTGTGTTCTGGCCCAGAGCCAGGCACTTCCTCAACCCTCACTCCTTTCCTCCATTTAGGACTCAACTCATTTCAGCTTTTCCTGTTCCTCCAAGACAAGATCTATGAAAGATCCCCGATACCTTATCCCCCACATTCCCAGCCCAGAGATCCCCTACACAGTAAATCCCCAAAAGTATCTGAGAAATGAATGAATGATTGAGTGAACAAATGTCATATCAGCTTCTTTCCAGCTGTAACATTCAATGCCTCTGTCCTCAGAGGGTTCATCCTCAGTGAGGTGAAAGAAGACAAAGTCTTGTCAGGTCTAGATACGGCATAGGACCATGCAAAGAGTGGGCCACTTCTGCCAAACGTTGAGCCTATTAGTTTTACTAACTTCATATGGATGGGATTATACTGGATGTATTCACTGTGTCATGCTGCCTTTTTTTTTTCTTTTTTTTTTTTAATTTCCAGACACAGTTTCACTCTGTCCTCCAAGCTAGAGTGCAGTAGTGCGACCTTGGCTCACTAGAACCTCCACCTCCCGGGTTCAAGCGATTCTCATGCCTTAGCCTCCTGAGTCGCTGGAATTACAGGTGCGTGCCACCATGGCCAGCTAATTTTCCTATTTTTAGTTGAGACAGGGTTTCACCATTTGGCCAGGTTGGTCTCGAACTCCTGCATCAAGTGATCTGTAGACCTCGGCCTCCCAAAGTGCTGGGATTACAGGCGTGAGCCACTGTGCCTGGCCTGTGTCTTGCTTCTTTCAACCAACATTATATTCTATATACTTGCTAGGATGGGGGTTATTAGCATTCACTTTTAATTACTCATTAAAGTATATACATATGCTTTGTGCATATTCAGTATCTGCACTATACTTCACAATAAAAGAAGAATTGAGGGAGTCCAAGACGATTGCTGTTTGTTTTCAAGAGACAACCTAGAATGAGTGTTCTCTTTTAGCCACTTTTAGAAAAAGTGGCTGGGCATGGTGGTTCACATCTGTAGTCCCAGCACTTTGTGAGGATGAAGCAGGACAGTCACTGGAGCCCAGGTGTTTGAGACCAGCCTGGCAAACATGGTAAAAACCTGTGTCTACAAAAAATACAAAAATTGGCTGGGCATGCTGGTGAGTGCCTGTAGTTCCAGCTACTTTGGAGGCTGAGGCAGGAGGATCACCTTACCCTGGGAGGTTGAGGCTTCAGTAAGTCAAGATCTCACCACTCCACTCCAGCGTAGGCCACATAGTGAGACCATGTCTCAAAAAAAAAAGAGTGACTTGGAACCTGTAAGATCTTTACAAAAGGCAAGAACCTTGGGGAAGTTTTTCACATAGGAACTTTACCTCAGAGCTTGCCTTTTCTTCACTCCTTGGCGAGTATTCAGTCAACAGAAGCATTACCCTCACTATGTAGGTCACACATCACATAAGGCTGTGCCTCGCCTACCAAGTGGCCTAACCTGTCTGAGCTTCAGTTTTTTCATATGGAAAATGATGATGTTGCTGGCAGCACGGTGAGAGGTGTGGAGGATGCCCACATAAATAAGGTATGAGGACCCGACTTGCCATACCCTGTGACTGGGCCTAAATCTGCACATGTGGCAAGGTAACTGTATGGAAAATAGGGGTTATAGGCTTTGTGTTGATAAACCTGAGAAAAAGTTTGGGGAAATCATTTTCCACTAACAGACCCAGTTCAGCAACACTTTAGTATTTACCTGCCTGGGCTGCCTCATGCATTGCTCTGTGGCGAGTCAGGGTTTAATGAAGTGGGATAAACCACACACACACACATTAGCATCAGCACAGGCAGGATTAACTTTACACTCCATTTGCAAGAGGAAAGCTCCTCTCCTAGAGTTTGTTATAAAGGGATTTAGAATCACAGAATGATAGAGGTGGAAGAGAGTCCCTAAGACATCATCATAATCCTATTCCGTCATTTTACAGAAGGTCAAAGAGACCTGCCCAAGAGAGCAGAAGAGACCTGCCCAAGGTCACCTACTGAATTAGCACAGAGCTCAGGTTGGACCCCAGTCTCCAGATCCCCAGGCCTACATCCTCTCCGCTTTCTCCTGTATTGCTTAACCACTGCCTTGTAACAAAGGCGGGGTAGCACATTTCTCTTTCTGGCTTTGCTCTATACCCTTGATACTCACACCCTCCATATTCAGGTTTTATGGTGTATGAGCAAGATTTGCATGTACCCAGCTGAGCCAGCCTCCCTCATGTCAGTGTAGCTTTGCACTTGCTGTTTCCTTTGTCTTCATTGGTCTTCCCTCTCTACTCTTTCCAGAGAGATTCTATTCAGTGTTGCCTTCCCCAGGAATTCTCTGAACCATGCCCTCTCCCATCTCTCTAGACTTTGAGCCCCTCTAGAGTAGGGACTTCGTCTTCTTTGCCTTTGTATCTCACTGCCTAGCAGGGGAATAGCATGTGGAAGATACAGAGTAAACACTTGCTGAATGAACAAATGACCAGATGAAATAATAAATAATTAAACATACAAATGAATGAATGAAGTCAAAGGCAGAGAGGAGGCAGTATGGGTCTCAAGCAACCTGGAGCTCTTAACAACTTGCCAATTTAGCTCAAGTCCTTCCTTGTGGAGCTCTGGCCTGTTCTGGATGTTTTCCATGACAACCATGGTCCATGACCTGCCTCCTTGGGATGGCCTGGACTCTGACCACATATCACTGAGCTGAATCTGCCATAGCCCTGGGCTTTCATCTCAGGCCCCAGATAGACTGTCAATGAGCCATCAATTCTGTCCTTGCCACCATCTTCAACCAGTTTTCCCAGGGCTGCCTGCACTGGGGGATACACCTAGAAAATTTCCACGTGAGACGTGAAGCCTATGTCTTCAGGGTGACCGTGCCCCTCAGGGTGGAGTGCCAACACAGATTCCCCATGGGCATCTCAATTCTAGCAACTTGATTAGAGAAGGCACCTTCAGATGTCCCTTGTTTATATAGACTCCTGAGAGGGAAAGTTGGGAGTGTGTATAAGTACCTATATACATGTATTTGACTGGGATAGGCATTGACGTAAAAGTCAGGAGACTAGGGGTTCAGCCCCAACTTTGTCAGCATGGCAAAATGGTTAAGCATGTGGACTCTGGAATTGTACTGCTGGGTTAGAATCCCAGCTCTCGCACTTACTAGCTATTCAGCCTTGGGGAGGTTACCTAACTGTGGTGTGCTTCATTTCCCCACCTATAGAATGGAGACAATGATATTCTCTGCCTCATAGAGCTGCTATGAAGAACACATGAGGTAGGCTGGGCTCCGTGGCTCACACATGTAATCTCAGTGCTTTGAGAGGCCAAGACGAAAGGATCGCTTGAACCCAGGAGTTTGAGGTTACAGTGAACTATGATCATGCCACTGCACTCCAGTCTGGGTGACAGAGTGAGACCCAGTCTCTGGAAAAAAAAAAAAAAAAGAATATGTGAGGTAATATATGTAATGTGTTTAGAATAGTGCCAGGCCCATAGTAAGTGTTAAATAAATGTTAGGAATTGTTATTTTCTCAGACCCTTAGTTCATGTTATTCCTTCTGCCTGGAATGTTCTACCCTCTGGCTTTCTGCATGCCCAGCTCCTTCTCCAAGTCTCCACTTAAGGTCATCTCCTCAGGGAGACCTTCCTTGACCTTATCTAGAATATATTCTCCCCCTCACTCCTGCATCACTGAATACATAGAGGATGGATCAGGGTGTCTCTGAATCTCTTCTGGTTCTTATCTTGTGTATTTTCCACAATGTTATTTTTTAGGCACACCGTTCCTCCCATAAGCCTAGGCTATTCATTTATGTGATTAATACAGAGTAACAAACTTGTAAACTGCAGGCATATTTGATCTGGAACAGGCTGAGGAATCTGGCACCATCCGGTGGGCCACTGATTGTATTTCCAGTTTGCATCTGGTCTTTCTTGTTACATCTTTTCTCCTGTGCCAGAAGTTTCATTGCCAAAAGTGGTCAGAGACTTAAATGTTTACTTTTTCGTTTTGGCAGCATCAGTAAACTGGATTATTAAAGTTTTGTCTTCCCTCTTTGAAACCCCCAAAAGAAAAGAAATTACAAGAAGAAATCTTGGCATACAAAGAAAATAATTCAAAGAATGTAATCATAATAGTAGTCAATGGTTTTCAGACTGACATCTGTACATTAAGAATATGTAAAAATACCAATTTTATGCTCTGACAACTTATTCTGAATTGGGGTGGGGTAATATCTTGGGAATCCCAATGTGAAAGCATTACATAATGTCAGCTATTCATGTGCTTCTTTGATGAGATATCAACAGGAATGTGAATTCCTAAAGGGAGAGTGGTCTTAACAAGTGGGAGGGGAGAGGGAACGCATAAGAAAAGGAAGGAAAGGGCTGGGTGTGGTGGCTCACGCCTGTAATCTCAGCACTTTGGGAGGCCGAGGCGGGTGGATCACCTGATGTCAGGAGTTCGAGACCAGCCTGGCCAACATGGTGAAACCCCTGTCTCCACTAAAAATTACAAAAAAAAAAAATTAGCCAGGCGTGGTGGTGGGTGTCTGTAATCCCTGCTACTCAAGAGGCTAAGGCAGGAGAATCGCTTGAACCTGGGTGGCAGAGGTTGTGATGAGCTGAGAATGTGCCATTGCACTCCAGCCTGGGCAATGAGCAAAAACTCTATCTCAAAAAAAAAAAAAAAAAAAGAGGGACAAAGGAAGAGAGAAGATGTCAAATCATAATGAAAGAGTGGTTGTGTAAAGAAAAGTTAATGCATATATTTTTAAACAATACATACAATCCCAAATCTAAGCCAACCATATCTAGGGGTTACTTATCTCTGTTTTGAGTTTCCACAATTACCACCATGATGGCATTGAACATCATGTTGGGAAGAGGTGTGCAGCAGCACACCATTATATCGTGTTTCCGCCATACAGATCAACTAGAGGTAAATTGCCTTAAGAACTAAGACAATAGTACAACAATTAAGAGCTGGGTGTGCTGGTTGATGCCTGTAATCCCAGCACTTTGGGAGGCTGAGGTAGGAGGATTGCTTGAGCCCAGGAGTGCGAGACTGCCTGGGCAACATAGGGAAACCCATCTCTACAAAAAATTTAAAATAGCAGGCCTGGTGGTGCACACCTGTAGTTCTACTCTCTCAGGAGGCTGAGGTGGGAAGATCACTTCAGCCTGGGAGTTTGAACTTAAAGTGAGCTATGATTGTGCCACTGCACTCCAGCCTGGGCAACAGAGCTAAAAAACAAATAAGAAAACAAACAAACAAAAACCCAAAAAAACACAATTAGGAAATGATGAATTTTAAATATTGTTACCATATGAAAATATTTCTTTAATTGTAAGTGTGATTCTTCTGCCTCAGCCTCCCAAGTAGCTGGGACTACAGGCACGTACCACCACACTCAGCTAATTGTAAGTTCATATAATTTAATTTTTAAGAATGAATGGGTTTAACCAGCAGCTTGGAGAATTCCTTAAAATTTGACAATCAGCTCTCATGAGCCAATCTGAGCCAGCTGAGGCACAATGCTGCCCCTATCCCACCAAAACTGTGTTACCCCTCACCTGGTCTCAGGCAATAGTCTCCTAACTGGCCTCTAACATCTAGTCTCACCTTCCCCACACTAGCCACTAGAAAGGGTGTATAAAACATGTAATTGACCACATTACTCTTCTTAAAACCTTCCATGGGTTTTGATTGTCCTGAGGATAAAATCCTGTTCCTTATCTACCATACCTGGACTTTGTGACCAGACCCAAACCTTCCTCTATAGCTTCCCAGTAAGTCTATTCTTTCACAGTGTTTTCCTCTCTCCCTCCATTCCCCAACATGCTGTGCTCCAGTCAGGCCAGCTCACTTGCAGTTTCACAAACTCACAAGGCTGAGTCATGCCTCTGCCATGGCTCTTGCAGAGCCTCCTGGCTGGTGTGCTTCAGCCTGATCCTGGTTTCTGCAGAGAACACTCACTCCTATGTCAAGATTCAAAGAGTCACTCATGCAAACTTTTCTCATTCTCTTAATTACATATAAACAACAACCTCCTCCCCTTTGAGATGGAGTTTCACTCTTGTTGCCCATGCTGGAGTAAAATGGTGCTCCATTTCAGCTCACTGGAACCTCTGCCTTCTGGGTTCAAGCAATTCTCCTGCCTCAGCCTCCTGAGTAGTTGGGATTACAGGCACCCACCATCACACCCGGCTAACTTTTTGTATTTTTAGTAGAGATGGGGTTACACCATGTTGGCCAGGCCGGTCTTGAACTCCTGACTTCAGGTGATCGGCCCACCTCAGCCTCCCAAAGTGCTGGGATTACAGGCGTGAGCCACTATGCCTGGCCTACCACAATTTTTTGAAAAGGAGGATCAGTTCATGGATCTGAGGATCTGAGTTTAGGGGATCAGAGGAGGAGGGTGGGGTGAAAATAGAGCAGTGATGAAACTTCTCTGTAAATTACCTCTCTGCCTTCCTGCCTCCCTTTTTGCCTGCCACACAGGCTGAGCCAGGTCCTATTTTGGGGCCAAACGCATATGCTTGTGTGCACTCAGAGATGAATAAGACAGCACCTCCCCTGGAGGAGTCAGTGCTACAGATAAGTCAGGGAGGAAGTATGGGAGCCAATTTCACAGGTGGAATAATAAGGGAGATCATACGTCATGACTCGAAATCTTCCCATTATTCTCCTTCCCCTCTGACCCCCGTGCATGCTTCTGAGTCTCCTTGAGAGGAAACCCCATAATATTTCTGGAGTCAAGATTAGATGAGAAGATTTAATAGCATCAGAAGAAACATCTGGGTCCAATTATGAAGCTTTAAATGGAGCCTTTACATTTCATACTTGGAATTAAGGCTAGTGAATCCTCCAGATGTTTTCAAATAAACCAAACTATCACAGAGACAACAGGAGAGTAATTGAAAATGGACTGAGAGAGACCTTGAGCATAGGCAGTCTGAGGTAACACTAAGCAAGCTCACAATATCCCTTGCAAAAAATCTACTAGCAATAGATGTGTATGTCAAAGAATCTTAGAATTTGGGAGCTTAACAGGACCTGCCTTGGCAGTTACTAAGTCTTTTTCCTCATTTTACAGATGAGGAAACCAAAGTGCACAGAGATTAAGTGGTTTGAAACTTCACACAGGAAAATTATGTCATACCTGGCACTATAGTCCCATGCTTTGACTTTTAGTTGAGTGAGGGCCCTTGATTTTCTGCTCACCTATTGCTTTCCTTCAATAAAATGTTCTAACCTTATATTTTATTTTATTTTTATTTTATTTATTTATTTTTTGAGATGGAGTCTCACTCTGTCACCCAGACCGGAGTGCAGTGGCGTCATCTCAGCTCACTACAACCTCTGCCGCCCAGGTTCAAGCCATTCTCCTGTCTCTGCCTACTGAGTAGCTGGGATTACAGGCGCCTGCCACTATGCCCTGCTAATTTTTGTAGTTTTAGTAGAGACGGGGTTTCACCATCTTGGCCAGGCTGGCCTTGAACTCCTGATCTCGTGATCCACCAGCCTTAGCCTCCCAAATTGCTGGGATTACAGGTGTGAGCCACTGCGCCCAGCCTCTAACCTTCTATTTTATAAGTAGGATTTTCTCTTCTAGTAGTGGAATGAGTCAGACAGGGAGAAGCAAGTCCTTGCAAATGATAAATATATATTGCTATGAGTTGAATTGTGTCCCTCCAAGGGAATGTTGAAATCCTTATGCTAGTATCTCAGAATATGACCTTATTTGGAAACAGGGTCATTGCAGATATCAGTTAAGATATGATGGATCCTTTTTTCTGTTTGTTTGAGACAGAGTCTCACTCTGTTGCCCAGGCCTGAATGCAGTGGCTCGATCTCGGCTGACTGCAACCTCTGTCTCCCGGGTTCAAGTGATTCTTCTGCCTCAGCCTCCCAAGTAGCCAGGACTACAGTCACATGCCACCAGACTCAGCTAATTTTTGTATTTTTAATAGAGACGGGGTTTTGCCATGTTGGCCGGGCTGGTCTCGAACTCCTGACCTCAGGTGATCCATGTGTCTCTGCCTCCCAAAGTGCTGAGATTACAGGCATAAGCCACCATGCCCAGCCTGATGGGTTCTCAATTCAATATGACTGATGGCCTCATGGGAGGAAGAATAAGACACACAGGAAGAAGATGTAGCCATGTGATGACAGAGGCAGAGGTTGGAGTGATGCATCTACAAACCAAGGATTGCCAAGAACCTACAGAAGCCAGGAAGAGGCAGGGAGGGTTCTTCCTTAAAGCCATCAGAGAGCATGGACCTGCCAACATCTTGATCTCGGACTTCTAGCCTCCAAAACTGTGAGAAAAGAAATTCTTGCTGTTTTAAGTCACCCCACTTTTTGGTAATTTGTTGTGGGCAGCCCTAGGAAATGAATACAGTACACAAATGTTGCCAGCATGTGAGTTTCCTTGGGCCAAAAGAGGTGGGTTCCATCAGGCCTTGGGGTAGAGGCAGTTATGAAACAAAAGTTGGGCTGGGCTCGAATATTTGGTAGCAATAAGCCCCAAAGTTCAAGCAGCCAGCATGTCCCAATCAGATTCTAATCTGGGATACTAACAATGGATGATGAGCAGAATCAGAAGCAAAGGTGGAGGAAATATTTGTCTTCCCATTTGAAGAAGTTGCAGTTCCAAATCTTTGATTCAGCAATTCTGATTGGGATACAGAATTTTACAGTTTATGCAAGTTGCATCTCTAAGGTACACGTAGCTGACATGAAAAGCAGCAAGTTCTCTTCCTTGTTCTCACCAAACTCCTCCTACCGCATACCCAGTCACAGACTTATATATGTTCAAAAGCCAGAAAAGACTGTAAGGTGGTTGTTAAAACCTCACTCACTTTGGAGTGTTGCTGGACCACTGCAGGCTGACTTCAGTCCAGAGAGATGTGCCCATTTACTCACTGTTAAGTCTTTGAATTAGAGTCTCTGCAGGAAACAGGTGTACATTCTGAATGAAGAATTGAGTAGTTTCATGAAGGGACAGTTTACAGAGGGGTGGGCAGAACTCAGGGAAGACAACAAGGTATGGCACCCTAGGGCTAGCCATTGCAGGGAGCATTCACCTTTTAGTTACACCTAAAAGGGCCAGGAAGGAAGGGAGTGGCTGTATGAAGAAGGTCACCTGACAGGAGCTGTGGTCTTTTGTAGAGGAACGCAATCAACTCATGGAGACGCAGCAGAGAGGGAGCCAGCACACCAACGGTGTGACTTCATTCCCCTCCTGTCCTCCTAAATTTAGCTCATGCTGCCTATTGTCCAACCCCAACCAAAGACCAAAAGATAAGGAAGCTTTTCAAACTTAATGGTGATAGACTGAAAGCTTTCCCCCTAAGATCAGAAACAATATAAGGATGCCTGCTTTCATCACTGCTACTCAACATGGTACTGGGAGTCCTAGCCAGAGCATCTTGGAAAGAAAAAGTAAAACACTGTCATCATTTGGAATCACAAGTCATCCAAATTGGAAAGGAAGAAATAAATATTTACAGTTGCAGAACACAGGACTCTACATATAGAAAATCCCAAGGAATACACAAAAAATCTATTAGATCTAGTAAATTGATTTAGCAAATTTCTAGGGTACAAGATCAACACACAAAAACCAGTTGTGTTTCTGTACATCACCAAGGAACAATCCTAAAAAAAAATTCCATTCATAATAGCATCCAGAAGAATCAAATACAATTCTTAGGAATTTTATTCTGATTGGGATATAGAATTTTATGGTTTATGCAAGTTTTGCATCTCTCAGGAATGCATTTGATCAGACCATTCATCAAGAAAGGTGAAGGACATGTACACTGAAAAGTATAAAACTGCTGAATAAAATTTAAAAAGACCTAACTTAACATGAAATTCCATGGTTATGTATCAGAAAACTTAATATTGTTAAGATGGCAGTACTCCCAAAATGACTTACAGATTCAACGCAATCCCTATAAAAATTTTAATGGCCATTTTTGTGTAAATTTAACCAAGGAGGTGAAGGACTTGCACACTGAAAAGTATAAAACTGCTGAATAAAATTTAAAAAGACCTAATTTAATATAATGAAATTCCATGGTTATGTATCAGAAAACTTAATATTGTTAAGATGGCAGTACTCCCAAAATGATCTACAGATTCAATGCAATCCCTATAACAATTTTAATGGCCATTTTTGTGTAAATGGAAAGGTTGATCCTCAAATTCACACAGAATTGCATGAGGCCCTAAACAGCCAAAACAATATTGAAAAAGAGAAATAAAGTACTACAAAGCTACAATAATCAAAACAGTGTGGTGCTGGCATAAGGATAGACATATATATCAACAGAATAGAGTTGAGAGTCCAGAAATAAACCCAAACACCTATGGCGAATTGATTTATCAACAAGGGTGCCAAGAACATTCAATAGGGAAAAAAAAGTGTCTTCAGAAGATGGTGCTGGAACTGGGAAACTACATGCAAAAGAATGAAGTTGGACCCCTACCTCACTCCATATACAAAGATTAACTGAAATGGATCAATTACCTAAATATAAGAGCCAAAAGTATAAAACTATTAGAAGAAAGCAGGGGTAAATCTTTATGAGCTTGGATTTGGCAATGGATTCTTAGAACTAACACTAAAGCACAAGCAACAAAAGAATACATCAATTAGATTTCACAAAAATTAAAACCTTTCCAAATCAAAGGATATTATCAATAAAGTGAAAAGGTAACCTACAGAATGGGAGAAAATACTTATAAATCATATCTCATAAGGGTTTAGTATTCAGAATATATAAAAAATGCTCAGCCAGGTGCAGTGGCTTGCTTCTGTAATCCCAGCACTTTGGGAGGCTGAGGCAGGCTCATCCCTTGAGCCCAGGAGTTGGAGATCAGCCTGGGCAACATGGCAAAACTCTGTCTTTACAAAAAATACAAAAATTAGCTGAATGTGTTGGTTCACAACTGAAGTCTCAGCTACTCAGGAGGCTGAGGTAGGAGGATTGATGGAGCCCCAGAGGCAGAGGTTGCGGGGAGCCGAGATCACACTACTGCACTCCAGCTTAGGTGACAGAGCGAGACCCTGTCTCAAAAAAAAAAAAAAAAAAAAATTTGTGACTCCACAACAAAAATACAAACAATTCAATTTAAAAATTGATAGTGGATTTGAATAGATAGTTCTCCAGAGAAAATGTACAAATAGCCTACATTCACATTAAAATGTTCAACTTTATTGGTCATTAAAGAAATTTAAGTCAAAATCACAATGAAATGCCATTTCACACCCACTAGGATTACTATAACTTAAAAAATTGAAAATAACAAGTGTTGGTAAGTATGTGAAGAAATAGGAATCCTGGTACATTACAGTTTGGAATGTAAAATCATGTAGCCACTGTGGAAAACAGCTTGGTGGTTCCTCAAAAAGTAAAACATTGGATTACCATAATGACCCAATAATTCTAGGTATATGAATAGAAACGAAAACATTTGTTCACATAGAAACTTGTCTGTGAATGTTTGTAGTAGCGTTACTCATAACAACCCAAAGGTGGAAACAATCCAAATGCCTGTCAGTAGATGTATGGATAAACAAATTGTGGTATATACATATAATGGAATATTATTCAGCCATTAAAAAGAATGAAATGGCTGACTGAGGTAGGTCATGCCTGTAATCCCACCAGTTTGGGAGGCTGAGTTAGGCAGATTGCTTGAGCCCAAGAGTTTGAGACTAGCTTGGGAAGCATGGCAAAACCCTATCTCTACAAAAAGTACAAAAATTAGCTGGACATGGTGGCATGTCTATAATTCCAGGTACCTGGGAGGCTAAGGTGGGAGGATTGATTGAATCTGGGAGTTCGAGGCTGCAGTGAGCCATGATTTGATCACTACACTCCAGCCTCAGCAACAGATACTGTTTCAAAAAAAAAAAAAAAACAAAGAATGAAGTACTGATATGTGCCACAATGGATGAACCTCAAAAATTTTTGTGTTATGTGAAAGTAGCCAGACATAGAAGGTTACATATGTATGATTTCTTTTCTTTTTTTTTTTTTTGGAGACAGAGTCTCACTCTGTCACCCAGGCTGGAGTACAGTGGCGTGATCTTGGCTCACTGCAACCTCTGCCTCCCAGATTCAAGCGATTCTCATTATTCCTATCATTATTCTCATTATTCCTTCTTATTATTCCTATCATACATGATAATAAATAGGAATAAAACCTCTCTTATTATTCCCCCACAGCTGAGCATAGGCACAGAAAAGAGAAAGTTCCAGGGGGTAAGTTCTGAGAGCAACAGCATAGCACAATGAGAAAAAAGCCATTCTCTGGAGGGAGACATCAAACATTCTGAAGAAACTGTATGGCAGTTCCAGGATTTTAACAGATCTGTCCATAGCAAGTAAGAACAGGGATTGCTAGAGCCATGCAGATAGAGTTTTTGAAGACTGTACAGGAAACAGGAAGTTTGAGGTATTGGGGATAGGGAGACAGAACCTTCTGCAATTAATAGGTCTGATAAAAGAAATACAACACCCATATGCAGACTCGTCAGTCAACCACAGAAGAATATCAGATCCCGAAGGGAGGCAGAGGAAGAGGATATCACAGAGACAGTCCTTTTAAAGCCCCATATTGCTAATGGTTTCACCAGTTGAGTAAGAAACAATGGATAATAATGGTTGAAACACAAAGCATCACGTCTATAGTTTATCATATATAATTGTGCTTAAGTTGACTGTAGTAAACTGTGGCTCACATGACAGAATGATCTTAGTTATTTTCAATTAGTTTCTTTTGTGGTTAATCTAAAGTCCCAAGTAAAATAATTCATGGTAGCATTGCCGCAAAGACATGTGGAAACTGAAAACTGTAGACATAATTCCCGGGTCCGGGACGGGCAGCTGAAGAGAGCAGCCCCTCTATAGATGACACCTAAATAAGCCCTGTTTGAGCATGCGTGATCCTTCATGTCTCATAATCTGTGGATCCAGGGCTCATGGACATTTAAAAGAAAGGCATGCCTTTTTAGACAGCTTCTCCACATGTTACTGATGACATGCTTCAAGATTTCTTGTGCAGAATCTGATGATTCTTAAATTAGAATCCCAATAGTTTTGCCAGTCAGTATTCATTATATAGTCACTTAGAGCTAAGCCTTGAGGAATAAAATTCCAGCTAGGAATAATAATAAAAAACGGGAATGGTGCCCTTGCAATACTAGTTCCTTATCCCTAGGATTTTATTATAATGAGAATAGTAAGTATATAGTTTAATTTATAATACATATTTTTAAATTTCATTATTTCATAAGGAAAGGCAGTCTCCAAGAAAAATTAAAAGCCATCTCTATGAATGTCCACATTTTCAAGAACGATTTCATAGCCTGGTTGAAAATTGTGTGCTCTCTCCATCATCTTGCAATTTGAAGAACTGCAAAATCATGAATAATACAAAAGGATGTTAAACTTTTCAACAAATCCAGATGGGTACCAATGTCATTGAGAATTCCTGAGAATCACCTTGATTGCTGCTTCAGACCTAGGAGCCTGAATTGAATATCACTTACCAGTTGGAAGCTATTGGCTTCAGTGACGACAGTTTCTACAATAACATTGGTATCTATATCGTTTACTTTTAAAATTGTATAGACACTAAGTTTGTAATTTTGGCAAATAAAAAACGTCCAAACTTTAACATTCAGTCATTTCCCTTGCTAGCCTTCTATTTCTTCTCCCTTATTATTTAGACTTTGGTGCAACAGAAAGAATGATGGACTGGGAACTAGAGGCCAGTTTTAACACTAACCTTTGCTGGGACCTTGCAAATCTCTTCTTCATTTTGCATCTTAGTTGTCCCTTCTGCAAAATGAGAGAGTTGGACTAGATGTCCCTTTCAGCCATGATTCTCGGGTTTCCATTGTTCCACACAGTCACTGGATGAAGAGACACTGCCAATGCAAAGACTGAGCCGCCATGAGAACTCATGTTATGTCTTGCAACTCTTGAGGCTGGGTATAATGTAGGCCTAAAGTCTTTACTTCTAATCTTAGGTAGCAGGGAAATGTGTCCATTTGTGGGTTATGCTGCTCGTTATCCCTCTAATCCCCGTCTCCCCACACCATGCTAGTCCTGGATATTCAGAGTCAGGGCTTGTTTGTCAACACAGAAGACTCGCACACTTGTGATGCTTTTGCTTATCCTGTTCCTTTACCAGAAGATCCTTCTGCTTCTCTACCTAGTAAACTCTCACTCATTCTTTTAATTTTGCCTTTTAATTTTATATTTTGACATAATTTCAGACTGGGAGAAAAGTTGCAAAATCCGTACAAAGAATCCTCATATACCTTTTACGCAGACCCCCCAAATGATAACTTTTTACCACACTCCTCTGTCTCTCTCTCCCTCTAGCTCCCAGAATTTTTTTTCTGAGCCACTTAAGCATCAGTTTCAGACATGATGCCCCTTTACTCCAGGTAGTTCAGTGTGCTCGACCTGAAAAATAAAACCAAGACGTTCTCCTACATAATGTAAATATAAAAATCGAGGAAATAACGTTAATGCAGTGCTGTCCTCTAACCTAGATCTGGATGTTGCCAATTGTTCCTTTAATGTGGTACAGCTCCTCGGTCTTTCTTTGCATTTCCTGCCACTGACAGTTTTGGAGAGATAAGTCCAGTATTTTGTAGAATGTCCCTCAATATGTGTTTGATAGTTTTCTCATGTTTATATTCAAGTTATGTACTTTTGATGGGAATACCACAGAAGTTACATGCTGTTTTTCTCAATGAATAATGTCTCACATTTTTTTGTTTAGATGAAAGTCCTTCAATCTCTTACTCCCACTCCCCTCCTAAGATGTAAATAACCACTGTTAACAATTGGCATCCATGCAGTATTTTGTCTATGTATCTATGTACACACATATCTACATACAGACACACAGGTACCCTTTAAAAACATAAAAATGGGCTGGGTTCGGTGGCTCCTGCCTGTAATCCCAGCACTTTGGGTGGCTGGGGTGGGTGGATCACTTGAGGCCAGGAGTTCAAGACCAGCCTGGCCAACATGGTGAAACCCTGTCTTTACTAAAAATACAAAAATTAACTGGGCGTGGTTGCAGGTGCCTGTAGTACCTGCTACTTGGGAAGCTGAGGCAGGAGAATCACTTGAGCCGGGGAGGTGGAGGTTGCAGTGAGCTGAGATCATGCCATTTCACTCCAGCCTGGGCAACAGAGTGAGACTCTGTCACAAAAAATAAAAAAATAAAAAAAAGATTTCACAATACACCTACTGCTCTGCAATGTACCTTTTTTCACTGAACTGTATGTCTTTGTGAATCTTTCTATATCTTTTTGTTGAAGCTGCGTCTACAGGCGTGTGCCACCGTGCACGGCTAATTTCTGTATTTTTAGTAGACGGGGGTTTTGCCATGTTGGCCAGGCTGGTCTCCACCTACTGGGCTCAAGTGATCCTCCCACCTCAGCCTCCCGAGTAGCTGGGACTACTGATGCATATCACCATTCCCAGCTAATTTTTGTATTTTTGTTGAGACAGGGTTTCGCCATGTTACCCAGGCTGGTCTGGAACTTCTGGGCTCAAGAAGTCTGCCTTCCTTAGCCTACCAAAGTGCTAGGATTACAGGTGTGAGCCACTGTGCCAGGCCAAAAGTGGCATTTTTTTTAATAGTATAAGTATGTCCTTGTTTAGATCGTTCCCTACTAATGAATATTTGTTTCCATTTTTTTCTATCACAATGTTTGTACATACATTTAAGAACATACCTCATAATAGCGATAGATGCTATTAAATAGCTCTCCTAACACACTTTTCCAGTTTGTATTCTCATCTACTGTGCATGAGATAATTTGCATTTTTCTGACTGTTAGTGATGCAGAGCACCTATTCACGGCCTTTGGGTTTCTTGTTCTGTGAATTGCCTGTTAGTGGTCTTTGCTGTGAGAATGCTGAATTGTCCGTCTTTGTCTGACTACTTATTTCTCCAGGCCTCACTCAATTCTGTTCCTCTGCAGAGGCTTCCCCATGTCCCCTAATCAGCCACCACCCCCTCCTCTGCTGTCCCATAACACTGTTCACACCATGCCCAGGCCTTCATTTACCAACCATTCCATACAAAATCTACTCATTCCAAAAGTGTCCACTGTGAGCCTTCTCTGTGCTTGGCCTTGGGCTAGGTGCTGGGTGGAGAGACATGAGCCAGTCATCATAGACTCCATGCTAAAGTTCAATTTTGAAATGCAGCTTTGAGCATAGAAAAGAGCATGAGTTTTAGATCTAGACATAACTTGAGTTGAATTCCAGCTTCACCACTTCCCAGCTGTGTAATTCAGAGCAAGTCACTTGATTACTCCAAGTCTCCATTTCCATACTAGTGAGGTGAGGCTAATCCCTCCCTAAGAGAGTCACTTGAAGCTGGGCAAGAGACAATAATATCTGAAATGGCTAAAAAGGGCCTGTTACACAGTAGGCTTGCAGTGGATGAATGGTAGTTGAAAGGCAACTGTTAAGAGGTCAAAATCAGTTAGTTCTCAGAGGTTCTAAGAGCCACCAATAAACTGGAAAATAAAAAGGAAGGAAGTAGCTCCTCTCTTTGCAATGCAAAGGATATGGATGAGTGCCACTTGCCCAGATCCTGCTGCAGAATATCCTTTATCTTTCCTGCTCTCTGCAGCAGATTTCTGCTTTGTCTTGGCCCCTCATCCCAATTCAGCTGTGCACTGTTGATGTCCTACTGCCACTTTCGTGGGAAGAACAGGTGCTTCCCTTCTCAAATAAATGTTGGTCTAGGCAGGGCGTGGTGGCTCACGCCCGTAATGCCAGCACTTTGGGAGGCAGAGGCGGGTGGATCACGAGGTCAGGAGATCGAGACCATCCTGGCTAACACAGTGAAACCCTGTCTCTACTAAAAATACAAAAAAATAAGCTGGGCGTTGTGGCGGGTGCCTGTAGTCCTAGCTACTCAGGAGGCTGAGGCAGGAGAATGGCGTGAACCCGGGAGGCGGAGGAGTTTGCAGTGAGCCGAGATCGCGCCACTGCTCTCCAGCCTGGGTGATAGAGTGAGACTCCATCTCAAATAAATAAATAAATAAATAAATAAATAAATAAATAAAATAAACGTTGGTCTCTTTAGAAGATACTCTGTAAGAAAGACTTCAGGATATTTGTGCATGCTGTCACCCATGATTTCAAGAAGTAGGGGCTGAGCACTGTGGTTCACACTGAGGCGGGAGGACTGCTTGAGACAGTTCAAGACCAGCCTGGTCAACATGGCGAGATCCCATCTCTACAAAATGTATATAGTTTTAAATTAGCCAGGTGCAGTGTGGTGATGCACGCCTGTAGTCCCAGCTTCTTGGGAGGCTCAGGTGGGAGGATCTCTTGAGCCCAGGAGGTTGAGGCTCCAGTGAGCTGTGTTTACACCACTGCACTCCAGCCTGAGTGACAGAGTGAGACCCTGCGTCAAAAAAAAAATAAAATAAAATAAAAAGGAGAAATGGGGAGTAGAGACAGCTTCAATTAGAAAGAGAAATGCTGTGTATGTGGAGAGAGGCTAAGGTGGAAAGTTTCCCTGAAGACCCAAAACTTCAGCAGAGTAGGGTGAGTGGGTATATGTTAGAAGGACAGGGAGAAGGGCTTTACAGGCAGTGGAGTGTTCTCTGCAAAGGCACAGGTGTGGGAGGGCATGGTGTGTTCTGGCAACTGCCCAGGATTCAGCGTCAACAGTAGGCAGATGTCAGCTCATGAAGTGCCTTTTATGCCATCCAAAGGACTCTAGGTTTGAAGACATAAACTAAAGGGGTAGGCTGAAGCATTCTGAGCATGGGAAAGCAGTAAATCTTTGTTGAATGCATGTGTGACAGTGGGAAGATGGGACATGGTAATTAGGAGTACAGTCGTGTCATTTAATGATGGGGATAAGTTTTGAGAAGTGCATTGTTAGGTGATTTTTTCATTGTGCAAACTTCATCGAGCATATTTACACAAACCTAGATGGTATAGTCAAGTAAACACCTAGGCCACATGATGTAGCCTATTGCTCCCAGATTACAAACTGCTACATGTTACTGTACTGAATACTGTAGGTGACTATAACACAATAAGTATTTGTGCATCTAAACATGGAAGAGGTACAGTAAAAATATGATAAAATAATCATCATATATGCAGTCTGGTTTTGAGTGGAATGTCATTATGAAGCACATAACTATTATTTCCTATACTTGTGGCCTTCTATAAGTTTTACTTAGCCTTTCTACGCCTCTTTTCTTTTTTTGTGTGTGTGAAATTGGAACTTAAAACATCAACTTGAAAGTATTGGTGGGGCTGAGTGTCTCATGCCTGTAATCCTAGGACTTTGGGAGGCTGAGGTGGGGGGATCACTTGAGGCCTGGAGCCCAGAAGCTGGAGACCAGCCTGGGCAATACGGGGAGACCCTATCTCTACAAAAAAGTTTTAAAAATTAAAAAAATAATTAACTCAGCATGGTGGTGTGTGCCTTTAGTCCCAGCTACTTGGGAGGTTAATGCGGGAGCATCATTTGGGAGATAGGTTTCAGTGAGCTGTGATTACACCACTGCACTCCAGCCTGGGTGACAGAGCAAGACCCTTTCTCAAAAAAAAAAAAAAAATCCACAAAGTGTTGTCGAAATTTAAAATATTATAATAGATGGACAGGAGTAATCCTGGCAATATATTTTTAAATTTTTAAAAAGGTGACATTTGTTTTACACAATACATATTACCAAAACAAACAATCTAGTCATCTGTGATGTGCTTCTATGCCTGTTTTCTTTTCTGGAAAGTGGTTCTCCAATTTTACCTTTTCATAGTACCTTGTCCTTCTCCTTCCCAGCACTTACCCCATAATGTTAATTAAATGTTCTAATTCTTTTCTGGCCAAACTCCTAGACTATAACTGTTTTCCTAGCTAGATGCCTATCTCTATGAGATCAGTGACTTAAAAATTTACAGCTTTTCTGCACTTTCTAACACCGTCTTTTAACAGATAGATGTTCAATAAACGTTGGTGAAAACAATCAAACTCACACTTGTCTTGAGGAGAATTGAAATAGGCCAATGAATTGGCAGTGTGTCATTATGAGAGGAGAAAAATAGTTCAGAGCAGTCTAAGTTACGTTAAAGGTATGCAAAAATAATTTTTTTAAAAATTAAAGATATGGGGTCTCTCATCCAGGCTGGAGTGCAGTGGTGTGATCACAGCTCACTATGACCTTGAACTCTCAGGCTCAAGCAATCTTCTCACCTTGGCCTCCTTAGTAGCTAGGAATACAGTTGTGTGCCACCACGCCTGGCTAATTTTTACTATTTAAAATTTCTTATTTATTTTTATTTTTATAAAAAGATTTGTTTTTTTAAATTTATTTTTATATAATTTTTTAATTAAGAAAAGGATCTTATTTTAAATATAGATGGGGTCTTCTTATGTTGCCCAGGCTGGTCTCCAACTCCTGAGCTCAAGCGATCCACCTGCCTCAACCTCCCAAAGTGCTGGGATTACAGCCATGAGGCACCTTGCTTGAGCTTTAAACATTTTTGTTCAGACGGTCTCATTCTGGAGTGCAATGGTGCGATCTCGGCTCACTGCAGCCTAGACCTCCGCAGTTCAAACCTCAGCCAGGAACAGCTGGGACTCCAGGTGTGGGCCACCACGCCCTGTTATTATTATTATTTTTTTGACACGGAGTTTCTCTCTTGCTGCCCAGGGTGGAGTGCAATGGCGCAATCTCGGCTCACTGCAACCTCCGCCTGCCGGGTTAAAGCGATTCTCCTGCCTTAACCTCAGGAGTGGCTAGGATTACAGGCATGCGCCATCACGCCCGGCTAATTTTGTATTTTTACTAGAGACGGGGTTTCGCCATGTTGGTCAGGCTGGTCTCCAACTCCTGACCTCAGGTGATCCGCCCGCCTCGGCCTCCCAAAGTGCTGGGATTACAGGCGTGAGCCACTGCGCCCAGTCGCCCAGTTAATTTTTAAATTTTTAAATTTTTTTGTAGAGACAGCGTCTTGCTATATTACCCCGGCTGGTTTCGAATTCTCGGCCTTAAGCTATCCTCCCACTTCGGGCTCCCAAACAGGTGAGAGCTACCCCATTAGCCAGGCAGGCATTCAAACTTTATCAGGCCCAGAGGGACTTGAGTATGGTACTTCAGTTAGCACCATCCCATGTAGGTGGTGGTGGGGGTGGGGGTGGGGGGTAGGGGTGTGTGGCAATTGTTTAAAGGCATTTTGTTCTTTTCTTCCCAGTACCTGCATCACCCTTTATCTTCGTGTTCCTAAAATTTGTGATAGAAAGAACAATGTGTAGCCAATGGATAGCTTATGTTATTTTAGTGTCAATTCTTGGTATGTAGTTTAGCAAAAGCCTCTTCTTTTTTCCTTTAAAAATTCACTCGTGGCCGGGCGCGGTGGCTCACGCCTCTAATCCCAGCACTTTGGCAGGTCGAGGCCAGGAGTTCGAGACCAGCCTGGCCAACATGGTGAAACCCCGACTCTACTAAAAATACAAAAATTAGCTGGGCGTGGTGGCAGGCGCCTGTAATCCCAGCTACTTCGGAGGCTGAGGCAGGAGGATGGCTTGAATCTGGGAGGCGGAGGTTGCAGTGAGCCGAGACCGCGCCATTGCACTCCAGCCTGGGCAACAACTGCGAAACTCCGTCTCAGGAAAAAAAAAAAAAAAAAAAAAAAAAAAACCATAAAGAAAGAAAAAAATTCACTCGTAGCTGCTACAAGAAGTGTAATGGCTCATGCCTGTGATCCCAGTGCTTTGGGAGACAGAGGTGGGAGGATCGATACCTTTAAGCCTGGAGCTTCACAAGACAAAGAACTCAGTTGAAACTGCTGCTTATCGGATCACATATTAAGGGCAACTTGAATTGATGATCCCAGGTTGCCCTCATCAAACTTGGCCCAAATAAATTCTCCACTTATATTAACTTTGCCTCAGTTTTTCCTTTAGGTCGACAGTTATTTCTAAAGTTCTACAGATGGGTTTACCTTGTATTAAAATAAGGTGTGAGAAGGGCAAATGAAGCCAGAGGCTCCCAGCACAATCTTGCAACCTTCAGAGACTTCCAAAGGATCAGCATTAACTCCAATATTTAGCAGGAGTGCAGCTCTTCGAGATTCACAAAGTGTTAATCTGTTGCCTAGAATTCCAGAGAGTTGGAGGCGCCCAGTGTGAACTGTGTTCCGCCTAAAAGAAAAAGCGACCAGCCTAAGATCATGAGCGCAAGGGAGAAGCTTGAAGCCATGCGCTCTCAAGTACGCGTTTCCCGCTGCCCAGGTCTGCGGGCCAAGCAGCCAGCCACGCTGGCCCTCGTCATGCACGCGATCAGCTAGGCTCCCGCGCCACGTGGCACTGAGAAGGCGTCCACCGAGCGCCAGGGAGAAGGAGGCGGAGCCCGGCCTCAACCTCGCCCGTGTCCTCATGGGGGTTGTAGTTTTCCTCGCGGGGGTAGAGGGCACGAACTCCCCGGCTTTTGCCCGGTAAATAGCATCTCCTTCGTACGAGTCATTCAAATAATAGATGCAGCCTAGGTAGCTTCAAGAGAAGTTGGGAAGGGGAAGGGGGAAAGCAAGGAAGGCAAACCTAATAATTATGGGCGGGGCAGAGAACGGTTCGCACCCACTACGCATGCGCACATCAGGCGCGGCAGGTGGGCGGGGACGGAAAGGCGGTGACTAGAGCTGTGTTGTCCCCGGAAGTGCCTTCCCTCCCGGGTCTGCGCGGACGCGGCCTCCTTACCTCATTTGTCCTCGCCCCTCCCCGTCCCTCTACGCGTTTTGGTTCCCGGTTGGTGCTTCCTGTTCGCAGCTGCGGCAGTGAGTATGTGTGTGACGGACCCCCGCCGCCCGCGGCTCGGGACCCCTGCCTACCCTCCTTCTTGCCCGCCGGGCTGTGGAACTAGCGCGTGCCCCCTCGCCGGCCTCGACGTCTCCCGTCCGCCCCTCACTCGTGGCAGGGCGCAGCTCCTGGTCCGTCACCTGCGCGCCGCCCCACGCGGCCGGGCTGCGGGTCTAGGGGGTCCGCGTCTCCCTGGCTTTCCAAGGGCTAATGCCGTGATTCTAGAGCGGCTGGGCGTCTAGGGCCTCGGTGAGGGTGGCGTGTCTGCCCTTTTTATTTCCCCGCAAGGCCCCCAGTCTTCTAGGGAAGCCAGTCAGTGAAGCGCGGAGGTCCCGGCGCGCCGAGAGAGAGTCCAGTCTTTGAGGACCGAGTAGTCCTGGGCCACCTCCCGCCTCTGCTGTCAGAAGCAGCAGCTGCAGCAGTAGAATCCAAAATTTCGGGAGCTGTGACCCTTTCCTCATGTAAAACGAGTAGACTTGGACTGTGTTTACTAAGGCGCCCTTTATCCCTCCCATCCTGTGAGCGGACAGTTGCCTTCAACTTTTGGGAAGAGCTGCTGGTTCGGTGGAAAAGCTGTGGCTGGGAATCAGGAGGCCTGGGTTCTAGCCGTGGCTCCCCCACGGATTCGCTGGCGATTCCAGAAAGCTCTTATTGAAGCTGAATTTAAGATTATTTCAGATTGCACAGTTGAATTACGGGCTGCATTAGTAGGGCCTTTTTAGCTCAGTGAATAAGTTTCTCTGAGCTCCTTTCTCCAACTATAAAACGAGAGCGTTCAATTTGATGACTTTTCAGGTCCCCTCAGAAGCTCTTGACTTTGTGGTTTTCTTTTTCTTTTTAAAATTTTTTCTAGGACCGTTAGAGAAATGACTTCGTGTTTGAATAGTTAGGCTGTCGCATACAAAGACTTTTAAATGGATTGTGTGTATACTTAGGAAAGCGTTATGCTTTCAGGAGAATCTGAGCATGGGGAATAAAGTCAGGAAGGATCGCAAGTGAGGATTATATTAATATGATAATTAGCACGGTAAGAGACTGCATGACCGAAGGAAAAGGGCTAAGGGAAAGGTGAAGGAAATGTTTCCGGATAGGATTAGTTCTCGTAAAAATCATATATATATCCCAAGAAGAGCTGGGACTTAAGTGACTAAATTTAGCTTATTTTTTTTCCCCCACTGAAATACTGTGCTCTGTTTGTCTTTTGTGACTTTTGTTTTACACATTTGGATTCTCCATCCCAATCAGATTTGATTCAGAGTGGCCATCGCATTTGAAAAATGGACAGACATTTTAACCCTTTAGACAATTGTGTTTCAACTGTCCTGTCAGGGCAGCTTACTAAGAGTAAGAAAAATTTTACTTTGAAAGTAAAGTGTATTCATCACATTCCAATGAAAATTGGACTGAAAATGAGGCTGTGGATTTGATTTAAATCGGCCGGAGATGGATGCGTGTGTCATCAAGAAGGAACATCTAGGGAGGCTAAAGATATTTGGAAGTAAATAAGAGCAAAAGGTCAGAATGACCAGTAGGTAGACTGTGAGAGCAGAAGGATTGATTAAAGACTGTGTTAAGTAAATGCTGAAAGCTTAAATAAGCCTTAAGTTGTCTAGTTTAAAACAATTCAGTCAATGAATACTGCTCCCTCTTTTGAATGGTAATAGCCTTTGCAGTTATTCTATAGCTGTTTTATATTTGTTAAGGTATTTTAATTCTTAGATAAGTTTCATTTGCATGATATTTTAAGATGTTATATAGGAAACATCTTTTCTGGTCATGGGATTGATAGTTTTTGAGTACCAACTTGGGAGATTCTTAAATGGCAAACTGACAAACGTGTGTTTTCCTTACACCTAAAATGTCTCATTTAGTTTTTAAACTCTGCTGGGACATAAAATGGATATTTGTGAGGTAAATTTAGGTGTTAGAACCAATGCAAATATTGCAATGAAGGAAGGTTTTTCTTCAAAAAATCTTAATTTGAAGTTAACTTATTTGAAAATTTTATTTTGGGCCATGTGCGGTGGCTCACGCCTGTAATCCAGGCACTTTGGGAGTCCGAGTGGGGCGGATCACGAGGTCAGGAGTTCGAGACCAGCCTGGCCAACATGGTGAAACCCGTCTCTGCTAAGAATACAAAAATTACCCAGGCGTGGTGGCGCGTGCCTGTAATCCCAGCTACTTGGGAGGCGGAGGCAGGAGAATTTCTTGAACCCAGGAGGAGGAGGTTGCAGTGAGCCGAGATTGCGCCACTGCACTCTCACCTGGGGGACAGAACGAGACTCCGTCTCAAGGGGGAAAAAAAGAAATTTGTTTAAAAATTTTAGTAAACAGTTGGCTGAGAATCACAGAAATGTGAATCACTTCTAGCCGTGTTCTTAACCAGCTGCATAACCTTGAATAGGCTTCCTATCTCTTTGTATTTCAGTTTCCTGATGGGAAGATTGAGGAGTCTGTATGAGATAATCTGATTTTGTTACCTAGTTAGTATACTTGGGAATCATGTACAGGGATAAAAAAGCTGAGAAAGCCTTCTGAGTCAAGGGTGTGTGTGTGTGTGTGTGTGTGTGTGTGTGTGTGCGTGTGCGTGTGTGTGTAAAAAACATATATTGTCTTCCAAGACACTTTTTAAAAGGGTAAATTAAATTCATTTGAACGTAATTAAAGCAGTAACATTAACGAAAACAACCTTAGGCAGACCTTAACCCTGGCATACATAAACTACCTAAATAAGAGAGCACGTTATGCCCAGCACAATTTTCAAGTACAGACGGTACAAAATCCTCTTAAAGGCCATAGGGGCTAAATTGTTAAATTCATTTTTCTACATTTCAGGGAAAGAGATAAATCCTTTGACCCAAGGAAGTCAGTTTTTATTATGGTTCTGTAGTTTATTTTTGGCATACATTCACAGGTGTGCCTATGGCTCTATTCTTAATCCCTTTCCTTTGGGATGGCTGCAAGAGTAGTACAAACTTGTAACTTTGTAATTTGGCTTTTTAATTTTTTCTGTGCTGCACTGGAATTATGTTTTGTCTTAAGTCCACACTGGATCCTCAGGATGGATCCAGTGAGGATTTTGAAAGAAGCATAATTCCTTTGACTTCTTTTAGAATTAATTTACCTATTAAATAAAAAGGAAAGGATTCATCTTTTATTCGAATTCCTCTGAGGCTAACAATTCAATATAAACTGATGAATGCTGTGAGCATTATTCAGACAATCACATTCAATTTGTGTGACAGTAACAGCATAGCCACCTGAAGGACAGTGCAACAAGGGCACAGGTATATGATACCCTTTAGAAGAAAAGCATTACAGGTGGGTTTATTTGTTTCTGGAAAACAAACAACTCCAGTAGGAATGTAGTACATTTTTGGCTCTTGTCCATTTGGTTTTTGGGATTAAGGTGGTTCTATTACCAGAACTACCACCACAACACCCTGGTATTTTTGGGCAGAAATTTGGGACACTAAGAAAACAACTATTTTTTATTTTATGTGTATAGCTGTTAGTGGAAGAAAGAATAAATAGGCATCATTATTGCTCTTTAGGCTGTCCCTGATTTTGGACACACACTTATTTTTTCAGGGCTCTCATTTTAATCAGTAGTCCATCAGTACCTAATGGAAACATCTACTGTGTAGAGTTTTGGTTGCTGATGCTAGAATTTAAGACTTTGGAGTAGTCGAAAGACAACAGAGAAATTCATCTCATAATTTTTGTATTTTAAGCACATACTAGATTTATCAGGGCTGAAGAACAAATGCCCGATGGTGTAGTTCATTTATTCATTTATGAATTCAGCAAACGTTTGTAGCTGACCCCGAAAATACCAGTTACCCTGTTTGGCTTTGGTGATTCATTGTTTAGCAGAGTGCATATAGTTCCTGCCCTCCTGGGATTTGTGATCTGCGTTTCTTGGAAATTTATATTGAATAAGTAATTATAAATGTGATGAGTGTTTTGACATGTAAAGTACTTATGGAAGCCCATAAAAGGGGCTCTTAATTTAGCCTGGTTGCAAGTGATTTTGAGCTGAGTTTAAAAGATGAAGGCTGAGGAGGATTTAATATGCTCACAGTAGAAAGTAAAGTGTTTCACTTTACACATTTATTCCCAAAGCTGGGAGTTTTGTCTCAATATTGGGTCATTATTAAGTTTGTATTTATACATTATAAATATACATTGTAAAAATATACATTTTTGTAACTAGTACAGAGTTTTTAGACAGTCTGCTCTGTTGCCCAGGGTGAAGTGCAGTGGCATGATCTCGACTCACTGCAGCCTGTGCCTCCCAGGTTCAAGCTATTCTTGTGCCTCCACCTCCTGAGTAGCTGGGATTATAGGCGCACACCACCACACCCAGCTGATTTCTTTATTTTTAGCAGATATGTAGTTTCACCATCTTGGCTAGGCTGGTCTCGAACTCCTGACTCAAGTGATCCACCCGCCTTGGCCTCCCAAAGTCCTGGGATTACAGGCGTGAGCCACTGCACTGGCCCACCCTTGTTTTATTTTTGAGTTGGGTTCTTGCTTTGTCACCCAGGCTGGAGTACAATGGTATGAGCATAGCTCACTGTAACTTTGAACTCCTGAGCTCAAGCGGTTCTCCCACCTCAACCTCCTGAGTAGTAGCTGGGACTACAGGTTTGCACTGCCATGCCTGGCTAAGTTTTTAGTTTTAATTTTTATGGAGATGGGGTCTTACTGTGTTGCCCAGGCTGTTCTCAAACTTCTAACCTCAACGTGATCCTCCTGCCTTGGCCTCCCAAAGTGTTGGGATTACAGGCATGAGCCACTGCCAGCTCAGGCATTTTTATTTATTCTTTTGGCCAATGATCAGAGGGCCGTGCGATTAATTTGTTAATTGAGAATATACATTTACACCCAAACAGTAAACAAAATTGTTTCCTGTTATAGATTTTAGTCATAATTGAAGTAATATTCCTGTATATGCTTGAAAATATGAGCTATAGAACCAGAACCAAGGAAAAGATGAAGAATGGATAGGATAGTGAGAGCTGCTTTAAGTTTTGTTTTAACATTTTGGAAAGCAAGGGTTTTGTATCCTGCGGTAGATCTCAATTTGTTTTTCGTTTACAATATACCTGTGAAATCTTACATATCATGTGCTGCATAATAGCATTTTGGTTAAAGACAGACAGTGTGACTGTGGTCCCATAGGATTTGTATACGTTTTTGCTATATCTTTTGTATGTTTAGATACCCAAATACCATTGTGTTACAGTTACTTACAGTATTTGGCACCGTTACATGCTGTATTGGTTTGTATCCTAGGAGCAATAGACCATACCATGTAGCCTAGTTGTGTAGTTGACTACACCATCTAGTTTGTGAAAATCATCCTATGAAGTTTGCACGATGAAATCACAGAACAAAGCATTTCTTAGAGTGTTGACTGTGTTTCCATCAATAACTATAACTCAATTTGTCAGTAGTAATTCTCGTTGGGGAGTGGTGGGACTTACAGGAGTGGGTCCTAACAGGACTTAGAAATCCTTGGAAAAAAAGGTATTTTAATATGTCTGAGAATAGTGATGGCCTTCATATTAGCAGTTGTCACTGACAGGTGATATTGTTACTTAAACTGGCATGATCTGAACTTTTAAAGTATATTCTGTGTACAACTTTCTCTTTTGCAGCTTCAAGGTTACTGACTTTTTATGATGTTTGGTGGCTATGAGACTATAGAAGCATACGAAGATGATCTTTATCGAGATGAGTCATCTAGTGAACTGAGTGTTGATAGTGAGGTGGAATTTCAACTCTATAGCCAAATTCATTATGCCCAAGATCTTGATGATGTCATCAGGGAGGAAGAGCATGAAGAAAAGAACTCTGGGAATTCGGAATCTTCGAGTAGTAAACCAAATCAGAAGAAGCTAATCGTCCTTTCAGATAGTGAGGTCATCCAGCTGTCAGATGGGTCAGAGGTCATCACTTTGTCTGATGAAGACAGTATTTATAGATGTAAAGGAAAGAATGTTAGAGTTCAAGCACAAGAAAATGCCCATGGTCTTTCTTCTTCTCTTCAATCTAATGAGCTGGTTGATAAGAAATGCAAGAGTGATATTGAGAAGCCTAAATCTGAAGAGAGATCAGGTGTAATCCGAGAGGTCATGATTATAGAGGTCAGTTCAAGTGAAGAGGAAGAGAGCACCATTTCAGAAGGTGATAATGTGGAAAGCTGGATGCTACTGGGATGTGAAGTAGATGATAAAGATGATGATATCCTTCTCAACCTTGTGGGATGTGAAAACTCTGTTACTGAAGGTTAGTATCATATTGGCCATTTTGAAAGTAGTATCATCTTTCATAAGGAGGACTGCTTTTCCTAGAGAAAAGACCAATAGGGTCTACTCCGTTTAATTCCTCACTTTTTGGTCTTGTTTTTTGGTTTGTTTCTCATGCGACTCTCTTACCAGTGGCTACTCTAATGGTGGTTTGTCTGAACGTCAGAAAGAGTATGTCAGAATACCAAAGACACTCTGCTTCTGCTGTAAGCAGATTCATAGCTGCTTCTTCCTGTTTGGCTAGAGCCAGTTCTGGACCTGAAATCTTACTTCCCCCCTCTCTCTCTGCTTGGTACCACAGGTGAGTACTCCATCCACCTCTGGCATTAGCCCTGTGCACTCATTCAGCCAACTCTGTTGGGACTGTCTCTTCCTATGGGATTTGCTTACCCAGGAGTTAGATGGCAAGCATAGGGAATGTCTGGCACACAGAATATATGGAATTAGTGTTAGGATTAGGATTTTAGGTACTCCACAGTCAGAAAGACAGGAAAATATGAAGAGCTGTAAGTCTAGGGCAGGTTATAGGGGAGAATGCAAATTTTGATAGCTACATCATCAAGGATTAAAATTTTGGTGTTAGTTATGTCTCTGTGACATGTAGTCATCTAGTCTTAATGCTTATGCCTTCAAGAAGTTCCTTTTCATTTCCCTCCCTTTATGCCTAATGCTCAGTCTCTTGCACTAGTTTCCTAAGTAGTCTTCTTTTATATCTACCCTGTACACTGTTGTTAAAACTGGTATTGAAATGCTCTTTTACTCATAGTACTTTATTGCTGCTCCAAAATTTTTAATGGCAGCCTGCTTCCCTAGAAATGATGACATTGAATGTAGATTGTGCTTGGAGCCCCTGGGATTGGCAAATGTTTTTTTAAGAAGCCAGATAGAAAATATTTTAGGATTCCAAGCCATGTGATATCTTAACTACTCAACTTGGCCCTTGTGGGAAAGCAGCCTTAAATAATACCTATAGAAATGGGGGTGGCTGTTCTCAGTAAAGCCCTACTTACAAAAACAGGTGGCCGGCTCAGGCTGTAGTTTGCAAACCCTGAGAACTTGACAGCAAAACGAAAAGAGAGAATAGTAGTTAGGACAGAACAGAATCGCGTAAAGTTTTTTCCATATAGGTGAGCTCTGATAATGTTTGTAGGTAGAAAGAAAGAAACTTGTGAAGGAGAGACTAAACCTGTTTGATGGATTGGGTTGGGGGCCAGGTTAGAGATAGGATCAGGTGTATGTGTTGTTGAATTATTCCTAAAAAGGAAGAGAGACACTAGTAATTGCTAAATCATCAAATATTTGTAGAGGTAGAGGAGAAAGAATAAATTCAGATGGATTGAGGCAGATGAGAGAACATATGGGGATGTGTTTGATTTTCTTAGGAAAATGAAAGCAGAAGTGGGAGAGGGCGGGGGATAATTGGAAGCTTAGAATGTGGAAGGGATGTTTAAGTGCTGTGGGGAATACTTTGAGGCAGTGGTTACCAGTATTTTGAAGATGACAACCTGTGTAACTTTGAAACAATTTGTGGACCACCCATGGTTGTAGTTATGATTTTAGTATTCAATTGAGAAAATGCATATTAGAAAGAAGCTACTACTCTTACATGACTTTGTGTTTTATTAATCACAACATTGATATGTGAGAAATAGTGTTTATAATGCGTTGCTCTAGGTACCCATTAAGGTAACTAATTCTGCAGTTTCCCAGGAGGCTGAAGGCTCTTAAGTTGGAAATCATTGCACTTGAGTGAATCAACAGTAAGAGAATAAAGGATTGTTTAGAAGTAGTATTCAGTCAAAATTAAAATGATGTGAACTTGTAGTGAACTCACTTTGAAGGATTCCATAACTTTATCCAGTAATACTTGTCAGCTTGGAGCAAGATGACAGAAACAAAATGATCTTGGGTTAGGCGTAACACTATAGAAGGCCAAAATAAGCATTTAGCTTATTCTTTCTCTAAATTACCTTTTCCTGAGATCACACCTAGTTTCATTAATCACTTCTGTATTTATGGTCATCAAATTGTCATCTCCTTAACCATTTTGTTGATTTCAAATTCTCTGTGTACATCTACAGAATATTTCCATTTGGGTATCTTACTGTCTCACATTTGACATACTGAAAAGAAAGCTTGATAACTTGAAAAAAAAGCTTATTATCTTTCCTTTGAAACAACTCCCTGCTGCTTTCTGTTTGCACTAGAGAATCTACAGACATGCTAAAGTTGATGGCACAATGTGGATAGGTTGGGAAAAACATGAATTAGGTGCTGGATTTAGTGAAGAAATCGAACTGTGCCATATTTGGCAAATGATGGTGATGAGAAAGTAGAGAGAACCTTGGATTTGTTTTCTGTTTTAGCCAAATAGAATTAAATTCTGAATTTTTGGAAATTAATTTACTTGACTCTTATAAACTCTTACAAATACTCAAATATATATTCTCCATTTTATTTCCTTGATCCACTAATGCTGTAATCCTATTTCCAATTAATAAACAACATATTTAGTACTGATGCCCATTTAAGTGTGTTGTTACTCTGTAATCACTATCCCTCTCATAAAACTATCTGGGGATAGATTGGTTCATATAATCTTTAGAGAGAAGATTTTTCTCATTTCTGTAAAAGTGTAGAGAAAATCTCAAGTACTTTAGAAATGCCTATTGTTAAACAGTATCCATAATTATTTTGTGTTCTGTTTCCTTGACCTCACTCAAGAAAAAAACAAAATATCTCCCAGAATTATGGCATACTGAAAACTGCAGTATGACATAAAAGAAAAGACTACAGGCTCCTTGAGGTTGGGTCTTTTCCATACTCATAAACCTGCTTATAATAATATTTAGAGTAATTTCTTGGCACATACATTACCTGCTTTCTCATCAATTGCTAAATCATCAAACATTTATTGAGCATCTCCTCTATGTAGGGTATAAGTAATGCTGAGGTAGTACTCGTGACTTACAGTGGTAAAAGACTTAAGTTTTAGGCCGAGAGCAGTGGCTCACGCCTGTAATCCCAACACTTTGAGAGGCCGAGGCGGGTGGATCACCTGAGGTCAGGAGTTCGAGACCAGCCTGGCCAACATGGCGAAACCCCATCTCTACTAAAAATAAATAAATTAGCTGGGAGTGGTGGCAGGCACCTGTAATCCCAGCTACTTGGGAGGCTAAGGCAGGAGAATTGCTTGACCCAGGAGGTGGAGGTTGCAGTGAGCTGAGATTGCACCATTGCACTCCAGCCTGGGTGATGGAGTGAGACTGTCTCAAAAAAAAAAAAAAAAAGATAAGTTTTAGCCTTGAATGACATAGTGTTTCACTAAAGAGACAGAATATAGGAAGCTAAGTAATTTACGGAATTCTCTCCTTTTTTTTTTTTTTTTTTTTTTTTTTTTTTATAGCAGTGGGGTCTTACCCTATAAATAGAGCAAGGCTAGTTTGGAACTCCTGGGCTTGTGTGGTCCTCCCGCCTTAGCCTTCAGAGTAGCTGGGAGTGCAGGTGTGAACACAGCTTTGAAATCTCAATTTTTTTTTTTTTTTTTTGAGACAGAGTCTCGCTCTGTCGCCCAGGCTGGAGTGCAATGGCATGATCTCGGCTCACTGCAAGCTGCGCCTCCCGGGTTCACGCCATTCTCCTGCCTCAGCCTCCCAAGTAGCTGGGACTACAGGCACCTGCCACCACGCCTGGCTAATTTTTTGTATTTTTTTTTAGTAGAGACGGGGTTTCGCAGTGTTAGCCAGGATGGTCGCGATCTCCTGACCTCGTGATCCGCCTGCCTCGGCCTCCCAAAGTGCTGGGATTACAGGCGTGAGCCACTGCGTCTGGCCAGAAATCTCTTAACCATGGGAGTTAAGTCTCAAAATTCTGGTGATACAAGTGGTTGAAACTTAAAACTTTGTTTAAAAAATAGGATTAGTGAATTTGAGATAATTCATAAGTCTGTGAAAGACAATAAATACATACATATTTTACATTTACTATTACTAAATTTGTAGTAAATTTGAGTACAGCACTACCTCTTTATCTGTGAAAACTTCAGACTCTCCCCTATTACTTTAATTTCAGTGAGACATTATTATATTAAAAAAATGGCCAGGCCTGGTGGCTCACGCCTGTAATCCCAGCACTTTGGGAGGCCGAGGCAGGTGGATCACGAGGTCGGGAGATCGAGACCAGCCTGGCTAACACGGTGAAACCCCGTCTCTACTAAAAATACAAAAAATTAGCCGGGTGTGGTGGCGGAC